>NW_025791758.1:0-211934 GCF_000001405.40 Homo sapiens | reverse complement strand
TGGGGGTACGGGTTCTCCTGGACTCCGGAGGTTGAGGGGTGAGAAGGGACTCCCAGGCTTCCCTGAGATCAATAGGAGGCAGCTAAAGGGGACGGCACACAGGCGGATGAAGGGAGTAGTGGAAAATAGGCCGAGCCCTGAAGGCTGCAATAGGTGATGAGGACCCTTGGAGAGGCCTGAGGATGCTCTGTGGGGCTGGCGAGATGTGAGCCACAGGTGGAGGGCCCAATGGCAGGGAAGGGTCACAGATGGTCAGTGGCGGGGCTGGGATCACAGGGTAAAGACGCGGAGAGCTGAGATACCCACAAGGTGGATATCCGAGATTGGAGACCCATAGGTAGAGGTGGGTAAGAGAATGAAGGCAAAGGACAGGAGAGTTTGGGATGATGGTGGGTTAAAGGACTACAGGTCAGGTGACCCAGAGCTGCAGGGGGAAGAAAAGGAGTAGGATAGAGAGGGCAGTTGAGCCTTGGGCAGAATTACCTGATGCGGGGACCACGGCCACTCCACCTCGGCTGGCGCTGTCAGTGGGCAGCACTGGCTGGGCCTGCACTGAGGTCCCTGCTGGGGCAGTTCTTCCAGAATTATCTTCAGAGGGGGCCTCCAGCTCCCTGGTACCCTCAGGGGCCCGTGTGGCTGGAAGCAGGGAAGGGGCACCCTCGGAGCTTCCTGTCTCCTCGCTCTCTCCTCGAGGGACCCCAGATAGCTCAGGACCACCAGTTGCCTCCCCCACCTCTCTTGCCTCAACCAGAGTGGAAGGTGATGGGGATGCTAGGTTCCTCTCCCTGGGAGTGGGCAGAGTCTCAGTAGGTGGTCCATGGACCCTTGGAGGCCTGGAAGCTTCTGACTCTCCATCAGGAAGTGGTGATGCACCAGGCTGCAGGACTGCCCTTGCTGGCGCCTGGGAGAGTGACTCCTCCTGGGCTGCTGGCTCAGTGGGGAGAGAGGCCTCAGGGCCCGGGCTGCTGAGCTCGCTGGGCCATGCCCACAGAGCCTCATCCTCCACCTCCTCCTCTTCTTCTTCCTCCTCTTTCTCTTCTTCATCTTCATATTTCTCTTCTTCCTCCAATGCCTTACCTTCCTCTTCTGAGAACCCCGTGGGCGGTACCATGGATTGTGTTTCAAATTCTAGGCAAAGCACAAACGGTTCAGCACCAGGGACAGCGTCTGTCCAAGGACCGAAAGGAAAAAGGGAAGGGGAGAAAAGTAGGGCTCAGGAGGGTGAGCCCTGGGGAATAGGGAAGAGACCGCCCTGAGGACAGGTGGTCCTTGCGCCACACTGGAAGAACTTGACCCCAGCCATATTGTTGAGGCAACACTTGAGAAGGCTCTGTGAGCCATCATTAGCCCCGGAGAACATGGTCATTTGTCTCCCTCCTACTCTGTCAAAACTCTAGTCTGTTTTGGGTGTGTGAGGCGGAAGAGGGACCAAAGAAGGCAGGTTCCACCTTTCCAGGGCGCAGCTCCTTAGTGCAAGCATCTCTAGCTCCATAGAGTTGGGGGTGGAATTTACTGGAAAAGCAAAGGTTGGGAGAGGGACAGGAAAGGTGCCCTGCACCCCTGAGCTACTGAGAAAGGACAGGGCAGAGTCATGTCATCCATCACCCTAGCATCAACCTGGGCTTGCCTCTTCTGCCCCCAACTTCTTTCAATCAAGACATCCTTAGGATAAGGGATCCGACTTACCTAGGAGCGTCCTAGGGGCCTCTGCTGGGTCTTCTGGAGTGGAGCTTCCACCTCCTCCGTCCTCCATGATGGGGATGGAGTAGATGGCCCCACGGGATTCACTCTCTGTGGCTTCCTGAGGCAGCTGCAGTTCCTCCAGGGTCTCTGTCACTGTGACGATAGCCTCTAGTCCATCAGAGGCTGGGTTGGAGGCTGGGTTGGAGGCCTCAGGGATGGCAGAAGGCTGGGCCGAGTCTGTGGCAGGAGGAAAGTATTGATGCGAGCCTGAATAGGTAGCTCTGCCCTCCCAGGTCACAGCTTGCACCATGGAATTCTCTCAATTCTCTCACATCTTCCCTGTGGAGCACCTACTGGGGCCCAGGGAGCATCCCAGAACTTCGTCACTCATTTCTCAAGCATTCATCAAGTGCCTACAGTGTGTCATGCCAAGCATTCCCCTGGGCACTGAGGATACAGTGCAGAACAAAATAGCAAACCTCCTACCCTCAAGGGAAATTATATTCTAGAACAGATGACAAACAAACATATATTATAATCTTACAAGATAAAGAACACTTGAGCAGAGTTAGAAGATGGAGTGATGGAAAATACTACTTTGGAGTGGTCAGGAAAGGCTCAGGTGAGAGATATTCCCTAGGGGGAGGGGCTGGAGCCAGCAGGATGGATGAAATAGCTTTACCACCTTGTGATCTTGGGCTTGGGGCAAGGTGTGAGGTGTCCCAGGTATCCCCAAATTCTTTTATTTTTTAGACAGAGTCTCCTTCTGTCACCCAGGCTGGAGTGCAGTGGCACGATCCCAGCTCATTGCAACCTTCGCCTCCTGGATTCAAGCGGTTCTCCCGTCTCAGCCTCCCAAGTAGCTGGGACTACAGGCATGTGCCACCGTAACTGGCTAATTTTTGTATTTTTAGTAGAGACAGGGTTTCCCCGTGTTTGCCAGGCTGATCTCGAACTCCTGGCCTCAAGTGGTCTTGGCCTCCCAAAGTGCTGGGATTACAGGCATGAGCCACTGCACCGAGCCTCCAAAATTCTTGAAATAGAAGGGGAGAGGCTGTCATCCCCTCAGGATAGCTGGAGGGCAGAGTGCAGGAATAACTTCAGGCATCACCTGAGGATCTCAGTGGTGGGGCAAGTAGGCAAGGGAAAAGGCCACCTCCTTCTGGGACCTACTCCTTTCAAATAACCAGAAGTTTAGAATGGTTTACTTGTCCTCTGGGGAAGGGAGCCAAGAGCAGAAAACCAATGAAGTGAAGGTGGAATTGGGCTAAGAAAAGTCCTGAGGGCTGTCTGTGCTCAGCCAGGCAAGACAGGACAGTGAGTCCCTGCCCTCATCACCTGCTCCAGTGAGCCTTACTCCTCACCAGACCTTGTGTCCTTGCTGCCTGTGTCCTCCACCAATCGTAGTCCCAACTGTAGTCATATTCCCCCTCCCCTGCCCCTCCTCATGATCCAGGCCATTTCTTTCCAAAACAGTGCTTGGCTTGGCACACAATCATAGCCAGCACACAGAAGTTTTAGCTATTACTATTATTATTATTACTACTACTACTACTACTACTACTACCCCTGTTCCAGGAGGTCTTTTCAGATGGACCTGTCTTCCTATGGACTTTTACTTCCCCACCCCTCCCCAACCCCAGCCAAATATGTCCACAGATCTGTCCAAATGGAAGTAATGCTTTTCTCTCAGTCTCTCCTCATCCTGGGAGTGAGGCATCTTGTCTTCCCTTTGCTGGGGGTTCCCATGGCAAAAGCTGTGTCTTCATCCTTCAGACCAAGTGCTCCCTGAGGTTCAAGGCTGTGTCTGCTCCTTCCATTTCTGCTTCCAGCTCTTGTAACAGTATTTCAGGCTTAAAACTGGGGAAGGACCGAGACACCGCATGGCAATGCCTCTCTTATTGTCGGTCACCCTTGGCCTGGGCCTTTTGCATCTGAGAGTCCCAGAAACTGCCTCCCGCTCCAGCTCCCAACATAAGATATGGGCAGGTTTGGGTGCAGTGGCTCACACCTATAAATCCCAGCACTTCGGGAGTCCAAGATAGGTAGATTGCTTGAGCTCAGGAGTTCAAGACCAGCCTGGGCATGTGGTGAAACCCCATCTCTACAAAAATTACAAAAATTTGCTAGACATGGTGGCATAAGCCTGTGGTCCCACCTACTCCGGAGGTTGAAGTGGAAGGATCCCCTGAGCCCAGGGAGGTTGAGGCTACAATGAACCATGATCACACCACTGCACTCCAGCCTGGGGGACGGAGTGAGACCCTGTCTCAAAAAAAGAAACAAGCCATAAGATGTGGGCAGAAAGCTATCTCTATTCCCAACTGTACTTAAGGTCTTGCTCCCTTTTGGGGGAATTGTATCCATCCACCAGTATTTGGTAGTTAAAGATCTGACACCTTCTTAAGCTGTAGTTTCTGGAAATCCTCCAGAGGGCTCCTGAGGGCATTTGGTTGTTGACTGGAAGAACTTGGGCAGATTACTCATTGAATTCACAGAATGTTGGTCGTCTTTGCTCTGCCAATAAGCTGACAGGAGATGGGAGCTTATTCAGCAGCCCAGCTGGAGCAAACAAGGCATGGACTACTGGTGGGAAGGCAGATAAGGAGAGGCCAAAAGGTGACTACTCCTTGGGCCAAACAGCTGACAGACACCACACCAGAGGGCATGCCCAGAATTAGAACCCTAGATGACAAGCTGGACTTCACCCACGACCACTTCAGGCAAATGGCAAAGCCCTGAGCTAAACTGATCAGACTGGGGTAGGACTTTTAGGACTCAACTCTGCCTTTCTGAGATTGGTCTCAGCTTCTGCAGGGAGGTGGGCTCACCTCGGAAGCAGTAGACGTTGAAGCGGCTGTGCTTATTGGGGAAGCCAGTCTGGTTGGGGAAGAGGAAGAGAGTCTTGACACCAGGCAAGCCCCCACCACAGCGCTGGCTGGGTGTGACGATGGGGTAGCGCACACTGCCATCAGCTAGCCACCCTGGGCTGCAGTGGTCCAGGCCACCATCCCAGGCTGCATACAGTTGGCCCGTGGTGGCAATCTCTGCACCCCGCTCCTGGCAGTACGCCCGTGCTTCCTCCAATGTCAGCTTCTCTGGAGGGTCACCCAGGAACAGTTCTCCTGGGTGGAGAAGAGAAGGCTGGGTTATCAGGCAGCTGGTAGCTCCTTCCACTCTGGTCTCCCATGGGAACCCTGGGCAAGCTTCTCCAGTTCCCTCATCTGTGGCAGGGAGTCAACTACTCTACTTCATAGGATCATAGTCTGAATAGAACCTCAAGATGGATATTAGAGCTCAAAGAGATGGGGCCCAAACTTCTTGTTCTGCAGAGTCATGCACAGAGTCCACCTGGCAGGTGGTAGATGAGTTAAACTCGGTATCCTGCTGCCTGGCTGAGACTTTGGTCATGAGCTTGCCTCTGTGACAGTGTTTGGAGAGAGGGACACCAATTGTCTCCTTACTCCTGCTTGCCCCCTTAAACTCAGGAGGGATAGTAAGGTCCTGCAGAGGCCCCGGGAGGACCTATGGGCAGCATGGGAGTAGGAAATTGTCCCCTGGGAACCTCTCACTCCTAATCACCATTTAGGTCTTCAGCATAACAGTACACATCATAGAGGTCATCCGGGTCCACCACACCATAGTTCCGGACCCCGGGGAAGCCATCCATGTCTCCGTAACAGGCCTCTCGTGGGGTCTGGATGGGATACCTAGGGAGGAAGGACAGAATCACTTAGTACAGATGCTTTCACCAGGGAGCCAGCCCATATTGATTCTATTGAACCCCACTGCCACCACAGTGCAGACACTTGCTGACAGCTGGCTGTCCTTCTAGCACTGCAGGGATGCACATGCTCAGGGTCCTCACCTCCCCTCCTCAGACCAGCCTCATCCCCCAGAGGCAAAAAGCCCTGCATGTCCAGCCTGACACAGCAGGCAGCACCCAGCAGAAGGGGGGCCATGGCCACCTCAGGGGCCAATAGAAGCCCCAATCCACAGCCCCTGCCCACCTCACGGTCTGATCCGACAGCCAGCCAGCATCACATTGCTCATAGCCCCCAAGGTAGGCGGCATAGAGCTGCTCCGGGGTGGCGATGTGGGCTCCAATGCGGGCACAGGCCTCCTGGGCCCCAGAAAAGGAGAAAGCATAGCGGGCAGAGCCCTCTCGGTAGAGAAAGACGACCCCTGTGGGGCAGAGAGGACCCCTGAGCCAGGTGAGCACCCAGCACGCTGGCCTCCCCTCACCCTCCTTGTCACTCCTCTGTACACAAGGGTAAATAAAGTTCAATTGTGCTCACTCTACAGCATGAGGGACTTAAGTTAGATTGTGGGTAGAATGTCCTCCACCTGAAGAGAGAAAGGAGACAACAAAGGCCCGTGTCTCCTCACTCTTTTTCCAACCCAGGCTGCGCCTTCCAGCTACCTTTGCTTCCCTCTCACACTGTGGGATCCCCGAAGGCAAGAGTCCTCCCTTCCCTCCCTCCCTCCCTCCCTCTGGAACCTCCCTGCCCTCTCACCTTTGACCTTGACCTCCACAGCGTCGCTGCTGTCATCGATGCCGTGCTGGACCTCACAGCGATAGATACCTGAGTCGTTGGGGCGCAGCTCGCTCAGCGCCAGGGAGACGTCGGTGAGCGACGCTGGGTACGCAGGCAGTGCCACGCGGAACCGGTAGGCCTCGTTCACCTTGACGCGCACTCCCCGCGCCACCAGCACCTCTGCCTCCCGGCCCCGGGACAGGAAAGTCCACTTGACCCGCGGAGAGCCCAGCACAGCCCGGCGGCTCGGCGGTGGCCGCAGGTAGTGGACGTGGCAAGGGATGGTGAGGGCGCCGCCGAGCACGCCCTGCAGTGGCGCGTCGCCCGCGATGCGCACGCGAAAAGCGCGGTCCTCTGTGAACGGGTGGAGCCGGCTGGAACTTAACGCTGTCGACCCTCAGAGTCCCACCCGGTGGCCTCCAAGCCCCGCTCCAGGATCCCTCCTTCCGGCCCCAGGATTCCCCGGCCCCCCTAGGACCAGGGGCCAGGGGCCAGGGGCCAGGGTCCTGCAGCCCTACCTCTAGGTCCTCCAGGACCACCCCGACGGTCTCCAGACCCATCCCCCAAAGTCTCCCAGTCAATTCAGCCCCCAGGATTCCTTGCCCTGCTCTCAGAGTCTTCCACTTCCTCTCCAAAATTCCTAGACCACACCCCAGGGTCCTCCAACCTCGCCCCCTGAGTCCTCCAGCCCAGTTTCCCAGTCTGCTCCCTTTAGGGCCTCCTTCAGGGTTTCTCCCAGTTCCACCCCTTTCCCACCTCCTAGCTTCAGGATCCCCTATCCTCCACCTTAGGGGCCCAAAGCCTTGCACCCAGTGCCCTTCCCTAGTCCTGCCCCATGATTTCTCCAACCCACCAGATGCTCACAGCTCAGCCCTTATTTCCAAGTGTTCCAGCCTGGACGCTTCCCCACAGCCCTCCAATTCTCTCTCTTCCTGGGGCCCCTAAGCCTGGAAGCAGTTGGTTAGGGCTGAACAAGACAGAGACGGTGACCCCAAGTGGGGTTGCTTACCTGAGCTGTCTCCTTCCAGAACATCTGCTAAAGCTGCAGGAGCCTGGGCCAGGACCAGGGCTGCCAGCAGGGGCAGGAACAGCTGGGCCATGCTGCAGGCTGACAGAGGGACATGAGAAGGAAAGATGGGGTTAGACTTCAGGATGGACTTCCCCCCTGCTCCCTACCACACCCATGTGGGTTCACACATATCCTGGCTCCAGAAGTCCCCTACCTTCACATCACCATGGACTCTCTGTTTCTGATCCCCATCTTCCCAGCAAGTGATTTCTTCTCAGAACCAAAACCCGAGTCCTAGTCAACTCACTGTGTGACCTAAGCCAAGCTCCTTACCTTCTCTGAGCCTTTATTTTCTTACTTATAAAAAAGCATCATCATTACTATCTCATGAGTTGAGATAGGACCATGTGCTTTGAGAGTGTTTAGTATCTTAAAACTCCTGTACAAATGCATAGCACCAGGCAGACAGTAGGAGCTCAGTTTACAGCATGAATGGTGGGTGCTCTTATACTCAGAATTCCATCTGCTCCTCCCAGTGCCAGACTCCTTCCTCGAACCCAGAGCCTTCTCCCATAGTATCTCTTTAGCCTCTTCTGCCTTCTAGACTGTCCCTGCCTCCAGGGACACCATACTCACCTGGCCTTTTCCAGGAGGGCCTCCTAGACCGAACGCAAGTAAGCACAGCTTCTCCTGAGCCCACCCTCTCCTCTACTTCCTCCCCACCATTATTTGTAAGGAAACTCCTCTCTTTACTCCCCAACATTCTCCATCCCCCTTCCTTGGCTGCCTCCTCCCTTCTTCTTCCCAGCCTCTCCTTTCTGCCTGGCACGGGCTTTCCCACCGGAACTCTTGGCTCAGAAATCAGTTGGGACAAAGCCCCTGTCTCTGCCAGTCTGGCCTCTATCCAGCCCCTCCCTTCCCCCACCCTACCTTTTGTGAAAGCCTTGGGCTGGAGGGTGGACTAAGGGGGGGGAGAATAAATGGGAGGGGCTACCCCTTCCTACCCCTGGCTATCAGAAGCTCTAGAACCCAGAATATTCCTCCAAAGATCTCGAAGCACTTACACTCTCATAAAAAGGATGTGTTGTGACATTGAGAAATGGAGACTGAGGCTCAGAGAAGGATAGGGCTGACCCTGGATCCCTAGTAAAGCCAAGTCAGGCACGAGGGCAATGTGCTCCCAGGAGAGAAGACTCAGAGCTACATCATCTTTAAGGGTTGGGCTAAACTTAGAAGAGCATGGAGATCCAGGTATGCCATGGAATAGGCCAATGATGCAGCAAGAGAATTGAAGGTTAGACTACAGGCAGGACTTCCTAGAGATCAGGTTTATTCCACTGGCTGTGCACTCCCATTCCAGGCCCACTGTTTATCCCCCATCTTCCCTGCCCTCTCAGCATCTGCCTTCATACCTGTCCCTGCACTTTCCTAAGCCTGAGATGATGGGAAATTTCCTACTTTTCCCAGATCCTCCCACCTCCCTGCCATCATAACCCCCATCTCCCCCACTGTGTCTGGATATCATTCCCTAGGGTCAGAGTTGGGAGAGGAGTGGCACAACCAGATGCTTAGGGCCTCTCTCTGACCTTTCAGAGGGAGGAGGTTCTTGATGGGGCCAGATTAGAGGTGCGGAGACCAGCTCCAGGCATTGGGGTGCTTGGGAGGACTGTTCTGGGGCTGGAGTGGGGACCATTGGGCAGGAGCAGCCAGTGCCCACCGGGTGCTGGGAAGACTGTTTGCCATGCATCTGAGCTGTGCCAGGGCCTGGGCCTGGCCCCCTTCTGGTGCCCTCCCTCCCTTCTCTCTGGGCTGGAGCTGGAGCTGCTCACAGACCTGGCTCCCATCTCTCTGACGGGCAGCCCAGAGACCCATATAGTTGGAGTCATTTTGGGGCCAACACCCTGGACCACCCTTTCACCTCTGTCTGACAGTGGGAGAGTGAGGGAAGAGGGCCTAAGGCCAATGAGGACCTAACTGCTCTGGAACATGGAGGGCAACCTACCCTTGACCCCAAAAATGGGAGTCACTGACCAGTGAGGCCAAGAGGGTAGCCCCGTGCAGTTCTGAGAGAGCTCTGTCTCTCCAGTCTCGGGCCTCAGCCTCCCAATTGCAGCTAGGAGCCCTGAGGAAACTCAGACTTCCCCACATCCGGTACCAGCCTCAGAACCCAGGGGTCCAGGGTTCTGTGGCCTTCTCTATCCCACACACCACTCATCTCCACTTCCTCTTCTCTTCCTCCAGAGCAGGCCACACCTCTCCAACTCTAACCCTGAGAGCTCAGCAGTCATGCGGTCCGTTCCCTTGACGCCACAACATCCCCCTCTCTGTTTCAGCTCCAGCGTCTGTATCTCTGCCCTTGTTTTGAATTTCTTGAGCTGTTCAGGAAACTTTCCTCTTGTCACATCATTTCTGTCTGACCCGGGATGTCCATCTCCCTCACAGTCTTCATAGACCCAACCCAGAGAGTTAAGACCAGGTCTCTCTCTCTCTCTCTCTCTCTCTCTCTCTCTGTGTGTGTGTGTGTGTGTGTGTGTGTAGGCATGCACGTGTGTACACACATCTAACAACACCCACCACCTCCATGCTGAATGCCCATCAGCCGGCAGCCAAGGTCTGTCCCATAGGAACTGAGCTCCAGCACTCAGCAGGGTCAGCAGGGAGGCACAAGAAGCCAGAGCTTTGGCTATAGCAGGAGGGAAGCTCTCTGCTACCCCCTTAACGGCTTCATGAGGAGCAACATGAGCCTACACAATATAAGCAGGGCCTTAGGGCCTGTAGAAGTAATTGCAATCATCATATAAATAGTCCTTTTTATTGGAAGCAAAACTAATAATACTATTAGCAATGACACCAGCCGAGCAGTTGCAGATCCCTCTCGTATAGAATCTGAAATGTGGATGATGCTGTTATAAATAGCAAAGTTAGCCATAGCAACATAGGCACTGGTAATACTGTGGGTGGGTCTAAGGGTAACACTGTTCCCTGATCTTACTGTCATCATCTGCAATCTAAGTAATGCAGATAATAATGGTGCCCCTTGGACTTGACGCCAATCTCTTGGTCCTATTAGAACCATGTAGGCAGAGCTATTCCAATAGGTGGGGGAATACCTGACAGGATATGGAAATACCTGGGAGAGGGAATTCCCAGGCCCCTGGCAGTGCTAGGAAGGAATGCAATAGTGGTAACCGAATTCCAGCTAATAGTTACTGATGTCTACCTGAGCCAGTTCTCCTAAATGCTTCCTGTGGATAACCTCAACTGTGAGAAAAAGATTGTTTATGTTTTGCTCATTACACCGATGAGGAACCCGAGGTTCAGAGAAGTCAACTAACTACCCCAAGGTCACAGAGCAAGGAGCCGAGTTGGGATTCCAGCCGAAATGGGCACTCCGACCACCCCCTAGAGCGGCTCTGATCGGCTGTCCTGCCGGACTACAGTAAGGTGTCCCCAGAAGGGTTGCTGGCCGCTGCTCCTGGAGCTGCCTGTGCGTGGGGGCACGGAGGCAAGGACTGATCCGGAACGCTACCGCCCTGCCTGGGACAAGGTCGGAAATCTCGGCGGCCGCGCTGGGACAGGAGCGCGCAGCAGGGAAGATGCGAGGACCCGAGGGGTTGCTGATCAGACTGCGAGCAGCAGGGGGGCTGCCACTGGCAGAGCTGGAAGCATGTAGATCAGAGATGGCAGCAGCAGCTGCAGGCGCTCGGGGCTGTCCAGCAGCCTACCCCGCTGCGGTGTCAGGAGTCGACGAGTTGGGTGCCCCAGAGCCTCGAGGCAAGGGCTGACAGGCGGGGGGCGCAGACCAGGCAGGCACTCCCTTCTCCCTGTCCCCGACCCCACGGCGGGCGGCGGGGCTGCGGAGGCACTCACCTACCCAGGGCTGGGGTTGGGTCGCGGCACTGCGAAGTTTGTCGCCTCCTCCGGGGGTCTCCTCCGGGTGCACGGCTCAGTCCTGCAGCTGCAGCTGAGACTGCGGCGGAGACTGCGCGAGCGTGAGGAGAGGCTGGGGCCGCAGGACATTCGGAAGAGGGCGCCGGCCCTCCCGGCGCAGCACAAAACCCCCTTTCTTCCCCCCGCCCCTGCCCCGCCCTCCCCGGGGCCGCCCCCGCCCCCTGGTCGGGAGCGCGGGGCTCTCGGGACGGTCACGGGACCCGCTGCCTTCTCTGCTTCGGCTCCGGCAGCAGCGGCGAGAGCAAGGACGAGCGAAGTAGGACATCGTTCAGCGGATGAGAAGCCGAGGGCTTGGAGTAGGGAGGAGGGGCAGGAGGGGCGGGGAGGGAGCGTTCGCCCAGCGTTCGCTGAGCTAAAGGATGACGATGTTGCAGCTGGAGGGGTGGAAGTTGGACAACTGGAGAGTCTTCTCGTTGTTCAAAGAAGAAGGAGGAGGGAGTCAATTAGACTGTAAGAAGTGGATGAAGGGAGAATGGGGGCTTTGCTCCTGAAAAGAGACACCCTTTCTAATAAAAAAAATGGAAAACTCTTTTCTGGAGGCAGAATGGGGTGCAAAGGACCGTAGCTACCTCCCTGGAGGCAGCTATGATTGGGCATTGGCTCCTGTGGTGCTCCCACTCCCTGCACAGAGGAGGAGCTGACTTTGCAGCTGGAAGGATGGAGGTTAGACAGCAGAATCATGGGTTAAGCAAAGCAATTCAGGAAATCTCTAGACCTGGGGTGGGGGTGGGGTGAGGGTGGCCCTGTGAAGGGACATTACCAGTCATGCAAACCAATGTGCAAAATGCAGGCGTTGCTGGGAGCCCAGAAGGCCTACTGGCCAGGGCTGTCGATGCTGAATGTGCAGCCTGATGCCAGGGGGTGGGCCTTGAGTGCTGCCCAGCCAGGAACTCCTCAGCGCCCAGAATACCAATGACCCTCCTTTCCCCCAGCTCCAGGGCCTCTGCTTCCCTCTCCTTTCCCAGGCTCTCTTTGCTTTTCCCTCCTCCCTCCTGGGACTGTAGGCAAAGCCCCTGGCACGGACAGTGGGCAGGACAGCCAGATGCCTAGATTCCCTCCCCTGGATACCAATATTGGCACCAAGGATAGCTTTGGAGGGCTTTGATCCTCATAATCTCCACAGCATCTTCAAAATACCCCAAGTAAAGTAAGGTGCATTCAATGCAAATGCAACCTCAAGGCAGATCCCCAGCCTTCCATCTAGACTGCACCCTAGGTCCCTCTTGGGAACTCTGGACTGCTCCCCACTGAATGTGCCAACGCCCCCACTCACCACTGCCTGGCTTTCACTCCCAGTGCCATGGACTTGGTTCCAAAGGGCTTTGAGAACCTCACATAAAAACCCACTCCAAATCTTTGAGGGTCTAAAGGGAAGATTCTGGCCCCTTCCCAGAGACCCATCTACTGTAGGGACAGGAAAAGAAGACCTGGGGGGTAGGGAGGGGTAGATGGTAAATTTCCTTACCAAGAAAAATGCCAGCCAGGTGCGGTGTCTCATGCCTATAATCCCAGCATTGGAAGGCCAAGGTGGGCGGATCACCTGAAGTCGGGAGTTCAAGACCAGCCTAGTGAACATAGCGAAACCCCATCTCTACTAAAAAAATACAAAAATTAGCCGGTGTGGTGGTGGACACCTGTAATCCCAGCTACTTGGGAGGCTGAGGCAGGGAGGATTGCTTGAACCTGGGAAGTGGAGGTTGCAGTGAGCTGAGATCGTGCCACTGCATTATATCCTGGGTGATAGAGTGAGGCTCCCTCTCAAAAAAAAAAAAAAAAAAAAGAAAAGAAAAGAAAAGAAAAGAAAAATGCCCCAGAAAGGATGCAAGACTGAAGGGGACAGAGGAAGGTGCCTGGGACAGTCTGGGGAGGAAGGGACCTCGATCTATTTACTTCGTTAGACCAATATGAGTTGAATTGAATTCCAGCTGTGGACCAGGAACTGCTCGAGGCCTGGAAATGCAGTTCCAATTCTTCTAGTAGAAAGAGCGGATCTGAGAAGGCCTTCGGGGACAGATCTGGGCAGCCTTAGGATGTCTTTTTGCTCCCCTTAGAAGTTGCATTTCAGAGCTGCAAGAAAACCCCCCTTCCTCAGGACAGTCTCAGCATGGATGCATGTGTCCAGCCTACCTCCACACTGGCTCTACAGGGCTTGAGGCCAGCCAGGCTGAGCCAGGCAACCAAGCGGCTGAAATTTAATCCCAGTGGTGGCTCAGATGTAACCACAGTTCTTGCCTCAGGGAAACCTGGCTGTGACCAGAGAAGGCAGAGAAAGTGACCTTCCTTACCACCTCTCCTCATGACCAGAAGGATTGGCACTCACTTCGGTGCCCTGGGGGAATCCACCCTTGACTGAGGCCAGCAGCACCTGGGTCTGGACAAGGGCTGGTACCAGACAGTCTGTTCCAAAAAGCAGATCCCTGGTGGGAGACCAGACGTGGTGAGAGAACAGACAGCTGCTGTTGCGCAGACGAGGACTCTGGCATCACAGGCACTGAGGTCAAATTCCTGTTTTGTCATTTGCAGTGGCAAACCTCAGAAAGGGCCCCGTTCCTCCTCTGAAACTCTCTCTTCTGAACAGTGGGCTGAATAATATCTACTGCACTGGGCAATATCTACTGTACCTGTTCTAGGCAAGGGAAACCCCTGGCCCATGACTCGGGCTTAGCAAAATCTAGTTCTTTTCCTTTCCCAGTCACACACACTTGCGCACACACACAGCAACCTAATCTGCCCAGATCTCCTGGCCAGGAGGTCAGAGGACCACTGCCCTGGAGAGCTCATTATTTGGGAGTAGAGACCTTTCCAGAGGATTTCTCAGGGGAGGAAATGGGCACTCTGAGGCTTTTCCAACATTTCCAGCTGAGAAAATTTATACTGAAGGCTAACCTGCAGTTTGAACCAGCAATTGCTGATCAGAGACTCTCTTTACAATTACGGACACTTGGCCATATGTGTCTTCCCCCGTTTCTATTTACTTTCTGAGAGGAGGCAAGAATCAGCCTCCTCCAGAGGCAAGAACCCCCTCCAGAGGAGGGGCTCTGCCTAGCCCCTCCAGATCTCAGAAAGAGATCCCTGGGGATTGGCTGAAAGCAAACAGAATCAATGGCAGCGGGAAGAATGAAAGTCAGATTTCAGGTAGAACCTCCTGTCTCAGTAACAGGAGAAAAATTCCTCCAGTAACCTTGAATATCTTCTGAACACGGAAACTGAGACCCAAAGAGGTCAAGCAACTGTCCAGAGTCACACAGCATGGAACTGGCTGAACCATGACCAAAAATCAAGTCTCCTGACTCCCAGGCCAAGGTTCTTGCCAGGGCTCCCCAGATGTCTATCAGGGGAGGGAGAAAGAGGGAGGTGGAGAGAAGAAAGAGAGAGAGGGAGAGCGTGGGCAGCTCTCCTCCCTCTCCCACGTGCAGCCCAGCTGGCTGCCTCCCAGTCTCCTGGGCCCTGGGGAATTTTCCAGCCTCTCTGGATGAGAACAATCAATCTCCTGCCTCCACCGGACCCCCAACATCCCCCATCCATGCCAAAGCTGAGGCCATGACCCAAGTTGAGAAAAGAGAATCTGCCCTCCACGCTCCTGCATCCTGAGTTCCCCCCATCTCCAGTGTTAGCCTTGGGCCTTCCTCACTGGATTCTATTCCACAGTGGCCACTGGGAGAGCCTGTCCTGCCAACCTCCTTGAACACCTGCCCCCTTTCTCCCAGACTTGGAGTGGGGGCCTAGGCAGCTGAGTTCCTCTCCGAGGCCCTGCACGGGCATCTGGGTCTTGTGCCATAGGCATGTGGGAGTAGGGCTGAAGAGGGGGATGTGGCTCTGAATGCTGGCACAGCTGTGTTCAGAGAATGGGGGCTTTGATAGCTTCTGAAAGAGGCCAGGAAGCACGGGACCCCAGCCCAGGCAGGAGGGGGTGGGGGGCAGAAATGGCTGAGTGTGGCTCTGAGGGCTCTTGCTGCCGCAGACAGGGAGTGTGGAGTGGGAGGGGATGTGGAGCAGTAGGGAGACAGCAATGGGGACTACAGGCTGAACAGCATCATCAGAGAGCCCCCCTGCTGCACCAGCAGGAGCCAGCGTCCCCATGAGCTGGTCAGACCGCGCTTTGAGGGTTGCAAACCCATGTGTTCAGAGGAGACCATCAGCTTGTTGCACAAAGAACAGCGGGAGGAACTGGAGGGCTGGAGCCCGAGTACATCTGAATTTACCTCTTGAGGTCCCACCAGAAGGCTGCCTGTAGTGCCTCTCCCAGCCTCCTATGGGGAAGGACCACTCATTTGTCTGTGATGTTGGGGCAGGTACTAATCTCCCTGTGCTTCAGTTTCTTCACCTGTAAAATGGTAATAACCCCTTGTTGTATGGTTTTGATGTTGGAGCCATGTAAATATTTTATATAATTAAAATACGAAATTAATTAGAGAGAGTTTACATTAATTTTAATTAAATTAAAATGAAGAAAAATGAAGCAATCCCTAAAAGTATAAAACAAATTGTAACAAATGTACCTAACTATATATGAAGTTGGAGCAAAACTACATAGAAGAATTTTCTTTCGGCCAGGCTCAAGCCTGTAATCCCAGCACTTAGGGAGGCAGAGATGGGCGGATCGCCTGAGGTCAGGGGTTCGAGGCCAGCCTGGCCAACAAGGTGAAATGCCATCTCTACTAAAAATACAAAAATTAGCTGTGTGTGGTAGTGCACACCTATAATCCCAGCTACTGGAGCAGCAGAGGCATGAGGATCCCTTGAACCTGGGAGGCGGAGGTCGCAGTGAGCCAAGATTGTGCTACTGCACTCCAGCCTGGGAGACAGAGTGAGACTCTGTTTCAAAAAAAAAAAAATTATTTCAAGTGATTATAAAACTCAACATTTTGACTATATGTCTCCAGCTCTCTAAGGGCAAAAGGAGCCATGGATTAATTTTAATGTTGGCATTATTTTGAGCATTATTATAACACACTATTTATCATAATAAAGCAAATAAGTAATTAGTTATATTAATAGTGTTAGAAACCAAGATTTTGACTGTAAGAGAAGAAGAGTTAAGCAAAAACTGCTAATCTTTTTTTTTCTTTTTTCTTTTTTTTTGAGACAGAGTCTCTCTCTGTTGCCCAGGCTGGAGTGCAGTTGTATAATCTTGGCTCACTGTAGCCTCCGCCTCCTGGGTTCAAGCGATTCTCCTACCTCAGCCTCCCAAGTAGCTGGAACTACAGGAGCGCACCACCATGCCCGGCTAATTTTGTATTTTTAGTAGAGATGGCGTTTCACCATGTTGGCCAGGATTGTCTCTAACTCTGATCTCAGGTGGTCTGCCTGCCTCAGCCTCCCAAAGTGCTGGGATTACAGGCATAAGCCACCATGCCCAGCAAATACTGCTAATCCTTCATCTGAATTGGAACTATCAGCATGAACTCATGCCACTGAAAAGGCTCAGAAGTAGTGACAACCCAATAACAATGAATCCCCTGTGGGTCCCAGTTGTGATCTCTACATGGCACTTCCTGCTAAAAGGAACAAGGACTCTTTGGAGAAATTCCAGGTCTGGGCCAGGATAGCTTGTCAGACTAGAGAATAAGGAAATTTGGCTGGGTGTGGTGGCTCACATCTGTAATCCCAACACTTTGGGAGGCCAAGGCAGGAGGATTGCTGGAATCCAGGAGTTGGAGACCAGCCTGGGCACATAGCAAGACTTGGTGTCTACCAATAAGAAGAAAAGAAAGAAAGAAAAGAAAGAAAGAAAGAAAGAAAGAAAGAAAGAAAGAAAGAAAGAAAGAAAGAAAGAAAGAAAGGAAGGAAGGAAGGAAGGAAGGAAGGAAGGAAGGAAGGAAGGAAGAAAGGGAGAGAGAAAGAGTGAGGGAGGGAGGGAGGAAAGAAGGAAGGAAGGAAGGAAAGATCAGCTGGGTATGGTGTCACATGCCTGTAGTTCTGACTTCTTGAGAGACTGAGGCAGGAGGATCACTTGAGCCCACAGTATGAGGCTGCAGTGAGCTAGAACAGTGCCACTGCACTCTAGCCTGGGTAACAGAGCAAGACCTTGTCTCTCTAAAACAAAAAAGAAAAAAAGAGGGAGAGAGAATAAGGAAGTTACAGTTATAAAACTCAGGTCAGGTGAGGGTCATTTTAAAAAGATCCAGTAGCCAACTTGAGAAGACTTCCACTGGCCAAAGATGAAACAGTTTCAGCATTAAAATGAATAATGACTGTACGAGATTGAAACATATCAAATACATGAAAATTCCATAAGTTCATAATGATACTGAAAAATAAAACCATTGGTCACCTTTGGACATTGATAGGGCACCATTCAAGGTTTTGAAAATTAATAGGGGGTAGCAGATCCTGTTGGTGGCCTGACCCATATTCTCTTAGCACTCAACAAACCAAAGACTGCTTGCTGCCCGAGGATATTTGTGTCTGTACCTAAATGCTTGGCCTAAATGCACAGTAAGTCAGAAGCACCAGAAGGTTAATGCCCCTGGGACCAGTCCTCAACCAGTAACAGGTGGGGAGGTGGTAAATTATTATTATTATTTGAGATGGCGTCTCACTCTGTCACCCAGGCTGGAGTGCAGTGGTGTGATCTCGGCTCTGCAACCTCAGCCTCCTGGGTTCAAGTGATTCTCCTGCCTCAGCCTCCCCAGTAGCTGGGATTACAGTACATGCCATCGTGCCTGGCTAATTTTTATATTTTTAGTAGAGACAGGGGTTTCACCACTTTGGCCAGGCTAGCCTCAAACTCCTGATCTCAGGTGAACTGCCCACCTCGGCCTCCCAAAGTGCTAGGCTTACAGGCGTAAGCCACCGCACCTTGCCGGAGTTGGTAAATTAAAACCCCAGCCTCCTCATCTCTCAGGTGGGAAAACGGCGGCAAGTTCTACACTGGCTCCCAGAGTGCCCCAGCAGCGTGCATTTCATTTGTCCATGGCCATAGCCTATTCCATTATGCACCCTTTACTGGATTCCTTCCCTTTCTTGTCTCTGTTTGCCATCAAGATCTGGGAATTTTCAGACCCACCAAGTCATGAGGACATATGGGCACAGTAGCAACAAAAAATGGTACATTTAGGATTGGGTGTAAGCATGTCCAGAGGGCACGAATAAGCT
The DNA here is from genome assembly GCF_000001405.40 of Homo sapiens. NCBI lineage: Eukaryota > Metazoa > Chordata > Mammalia > Primates > Hominidae > Homo > Homo sapiens. Next base: position 193,655 of record NW_025791758.1, on the reverse strand, counting down.
ACAAGTGCAGGGAGTCCAGATCCCACTTTACCTGTCCCTGTTGCTCCTGTACCTCTCTTAGCTCACCCTGTAGCCTTGTGGGAATTTCCCTATAACCAGGCTTTAGAGGAGGAAAAAATGCAGGCCAGGTTCATGGATGGGCCTGTCTGATTTATTGATGTGAGCTAAACTTGGATGCTGCCACACTACAGCCCCACTCAGGGGTGGCCTTGAAAGACAACATGAGGGGAAATCCTCCAGGGAGGACGTTTCAAGCAGCATGCTGGTGGTCTACTCTGCAGTGAGAGAGGTGACTTGAGGAAAGTATATACACATGGATTCTTGAGCAGTGGCAGTGGCTTAGTTGGCTGGTCAGGGCCCAGAAGAGAGTAAGATTGGAAGGTTGGAGGTAAGGATGTCCAGGGAAGAGGTATATGGATGGACTTATAGGAGTGGGCACAAAGTGATAAATCTTTGTGTCTTATGTCAGTACCATCAAAGAACATTCACTGCAGAGGGGGCATTGAAGAGCTAAGGGGACAGAAGGACTCCAGTGGATAAACCAGCCTTTGTCATGCCAGGGCTTCCATGGTGAGCCCATGAATGGAGTAGTTGTGGCAGTAGATCTGGAATCTATGCAAGGGCCCACTAGCATGGGCGACCTCTCATCAAGGCTCATCTAGCTACTGCCACTGCTGAATGTTTGGCCTGTCTGCAGCAGAGACAGATGCTGACCCCTCAACATGGTACCAGCCCTCAAGGAGATCAACCAGCCAGTTGATAGTATGTTTTTTGTTTGTTTGTTTGTTTTTGAAACAGGGTCTCACTCTGGTTGCCCAGTCTGGAGTGCAGTGGTGTGATCTCGGCTCACTGTGGCCTCGACCTCCCAGGCTCAGGTGATTCTCCCACCTCAGCCTCCTGGGTAGCTGGGATTACAGGTGCACACCATTGTGCCTGGCAATTTTTTTTTTTTTTTGTATTTTTAATAGATATGGGGTTTCACTATGTTGCCCAGGCTGGTCTTCAACTCCTGATCTCAAGTGAGTGCCTGCCTCGGCCTTCCAAAGTGCTGGGATTACAGGTGTGAGCCACTGTGCCTGCCTGATGGTATGTTGATTTCAGTGTATCTCTTTCAATCTGGGGGAGGAGCAATATGTCCTCACTGGGATTAGTGCATATTCTGGATATGGATTTGTCTTTCCTGACCAAATGCCTGGGCCAGCACCAAATATCAAGGGCCCAAAGTCAATGATTTGTCCTTATGAGACCCCTTATAGTCTCACCTCTAACCAAGGGTCTGCACTTTATAGCGAAGGAAATGTGACAATGGATGCACAGCCACAGGATCCATTGGTTCTATGCTATAATATATCACATCACCTTGAAACTGCCAGCTTGTTAGTACATTACTGTGGCCTCTTTACAGCACATCTAAAGCCAGCCTGGGGAAAAGATCCTGTGAGATTTGGGTGCAGTCCTGCAAAATGAAGTATATATTTTGAGTTAATGGCCATTATATAGTGCTATATGCCAGACAGTTAGAAATCAGGGGTACAGGAACCAAGGTATGGAAGAAGGAATACCCCTCTCACCATCAGTCCTAGTGACTCACTTGGGGGAATTTGTGCCTCCTGTCCTTATACATTTAAGGTCTGTGGGATTAGAAGCCCTGGTTCTTGAAGTGGCAGATGCAGCTCCCAGAGGTCACAGTGAAGATGCTACTAAACCTAAGGCTACAGCAGCCATTGGGTCATTTGGGGCATCTCATACCAATTGGCCAGTACACAAAGAAAGGAATTATGCAAGCAGAGATATTTGATCTTCATTATCCCATGAACAGGCAGTTGTATCAATGATGGCCTGGCAAGGGCATGGTGATGTAAGGCAGAGAACTTCAGTCATGAAGGTCTGGATTTTCCATTGAGAAAGCCCTGCAGACTAACAGAATGAACTGTAGAGGAGGGAAATGTTGAATGCTGATTTCAGCCTTGCAACCAACTGCAGCAATGGTTATGGTTTGTCCTACTAACCCACCCATTGTACAATTAAAAAAAAAAAAAACAGATGGAGTCTCACTCTGTCACCCAGGCTGGAGTTCAGTGGCATGATTATGGCTCACTGCGCCTCAAACTGCTAGGCTCAAGAAATCCTTCCATATCAGCCTCCCTGGTAGCTGGGACTACAGACACACGCCACCACGCCTGGTGAATTTTTAAATTATTTTTTAGAGACAGAGGTCTTGCTTTGTTGCTCAGACTGGTCTCAAACTCCTAGTTTCAAGTGATCCTCCAGCCTCGGCCTCCCAAAGTGTTGGGATTACTGGCAGGAGTCACCACACCCAGCCTGTTGTTAAGACTTTCTTTTAAAAGAATTAGAAATTGCAATCAGCCACCACCTTGAAGCATCAGAGACAGAATAGAATGAACTCATGGAATGAGAGGCACAAATGGATCCTAGCAGTGCAAAGGGGGGACGGTACTGTGACCCATATCCTTCAGCATTCACCTCTACAGGAGGACGCATCTTTGTGAACATCTGTGACTCTGCCTGGAGGCGTTTGTTCTGGCTATGGGAGCATGTTTGTGCTCAGGGCAAGCCAGGAATGCTAGAGAGTTAATGCTCCCAGAAGGAGCTCTCAACCAACACAGAGGGAGTTGACAATTATATCCTATTTCTTTGCCCCTTGGGGAGGATTCTCTGAGGCAGCTTCTACACTTCTCCCAGGTTCCTCAGCAGGATTGATCCCCATTGGCCCACCTGCTCTAATACATGCCTCTAACTGGCTCCCTTCCCTTTCCTGTCCCACTTCTCCACTCCTCTCCCAGTGCCTGTTAGCATCACTTACCAAATAAACTACTTTTGTTCCTGACTCAAGATCTGCTTCTAGGAAGCAGATCCTTCTTAGCCCACCTAAGACAAATGCGAGATAATCAAGCACTAATTCTACCTTTCCTGAATGGGTGAAATGTCAGAGTAACAAAGCAGTTATTGAGAGCAGTTTTTCTTACAGATGATTCACAGCTAATAAACGAAGGTGGGCCTGGCGCAGCGGGTCATGCCTGTAACCCCAGCACTTTGGGATGCAGGGGCGGGCAGATCACTTGAGGTCAGGAGTTCGACACCAGCCTGGCCAACATGGTGGAACCCCTTCTCTACTAAAAATACAAAAATTAGCTGGGCATGGTGGTGCGCACCTGTAATCCCAGCTACTAGGGAGGCTGAGGCAGGAGAATCACTTGAGCCCAGGAGGAAGAGGTTGCAGTGAGCCGAGATCAAGCCACTGCACCTCTACTCTAGCCTGGGTGATAGAACAAGACTCCATCTCAAAAAAAAAAAAAAAAAAGAAGAAGAAGGAGGAATGACAAAATTAGACAATCTCCATTTTGCAACTCTTAATGAATGAATGAATCTAGACAATGATCAGCAGTGCCATCAGATAAAAGGTTGATAGGTGTAGAGGGTCGAATGGTGGCCACTAGAAAATATGTCCATAGGCTGGGCACGGTGGCTCACACCTGTAATCCCAGCACTTTGGGAGGCTGAGACGGGAGGATCACCTGAGGTCAGGAGTTGGAGACCAGCCTGACCAACATGGAGAAACCCTGTCTCTACTAAAAATACAAAATTAGCCGGTGTGGTGGCACATGCCTATAATCCCAGCTACTCGAGAGGCTGAGGCAGGAGAATTGCTTGAACCCGGGAGGCGGAGGTTGCGGTGAGCCTAGATGGCGCCATTGCACTCCAGCCTGGGCAATAAGAGCGAAACTCCATCTCAAAAAAGAAAAAAAAAAAAAAAGAAGAAGAAAGAAAGAAAAAGAAAAAAAAAGATAATATGTCCACGGCCTAATCCCTGAAAACTGTGAATGTTATCTTGTTTGAGGAAAGGATCTTTGCCGATGTAATTCATTACATGAATTCATTCCTTAACTTCAGTTAAGGGTCATGAAATGAGTTCATCCTGGATTAGCTAGGTGGGGTAAATCCAACGACATGTGTCCTTATGAGAGATAGAAGAGGAAAAGACACAGACTCATGAAGAGGAGGAGGGTACATGACCACAAAGGCAGAGATTGGAGTGATGCGGCTAAGGAAGCCAAGGAACAGAAGCCGCCAGAAGCTGGAAGAGGCAAGGAAGGGTTCTGCCCACAATCTCCAGAGGGAGTGCAGCCCTGCTGACACCTAGGTTTTTGTTTGTTGTTGCTGTTGTTGTTGTTTACCACTGTGCTATTGAAAACGTAGATTTTGGACTTCTGGCTGGTAGAGAATAAATGTCTCTGTGGTAAGAGAATAAATGTCTGTTGCTTTAAACACAAAATTTGTGGTAATTTGTTACAGCAGACACCGGAAACTAATACAATGGAGAACCTTTTATTTATTTACTTATTTTTGAGATGGAGTCTCACTCTGTCACCCAGTCTGGAGTACAATGGCGTGATCTCAGCTCACTGCAACCTCCACCTCCCAGATTCAAGCGATTCTCTTGTCTCAGCCGCCCGAGTAGCTGGGACTACAGGTGCTTGCCACCACGCCCCGCTAATTTTTTTAATTTTTTTATTTTTTGTAGAGACAGGGTTTTACCTTGTTGGTCAGGCTGGTATCAAACTCCTGACCTCAGGTGATCCTCCCACCTTGACCTCCCAAAGTGCTGGGATTACAGGCGTGAGCCACTGCGCCCGACCTACAATGGATAACCTTATAATTAATGGACAGACAGCCTGAATTTACTGATCAATCTCAACATCATTGAAAGTAGATTAAGGCCCAGGTGTGGTGGCTCACACCTGTAATCCCAACACTTTGGGAGGCCAAGGCGGGAAGATGTTTAGAGGCCAGGAGCTTGAGACCAGCCTGGGCAACATGGCGAAATCTTGTCTCTATGAAAACAAAACAAAACAAAACAAAAAACTAGCTGGGTGTGGTAGCACATGCCTGTCATCCCAGCTACTCAGGAGGCTGAAGCAGGAGGATCACTTGAGCCTGAGAGGCAAAGGTTGCAGTGAGCCAAGACCGTGCCACTGCACTCCAGCGTGGGTGACAGAGCAAGACTCCATCTCAAAAACCAAAAAAAACAAACAAAAGAAAGTAGAACCGCCAGTCACCAGGTGCCTCCTGATGTGATGAAAGAGGAAGTATACAGTATCACTTATGGAATGTTTCCAGAAAAAAGTGAATGTGAATTTGTTTGTTTGTTTATTTATTTTGAGGTGGAGTCTCACTCAGTTGCCCAGGCTGGAGTGCATTGGCGTGATCTTGGCTCACTGAAACCTCCACATCCTGGGTTCAAGCAATTCTCCTGCCTCAGCCTCCTGAGTAGCTGGGATTACAGGCACCCACCACCATGCCCGGCTAATTTTTTGTACTTTTAGTAGAGGTGGGGTTTCTCCATGTTGGCTAGGCTGGTCTCAAACTCTTGACCTCAGGTGATCCACCTACCTCGGCCTCCCAAAGTGCTGGGATTACAGGCGTGAGCCACTGTGCTTGCTTGAATTTAATCAAACTTCTAAATATAATCACAGGGGACAAAGGAACATGCTAAATGACATTTGCAAGGGTACACTCAGCCAAATCCAGAATGTGAGAAACTTGACAGGAAAAAATGACCTAGTTTCTTAAACAAACAAATACAATGGCATAGATAAAATGAAGGGGGCAGGAGTATTGCAGCTTAACAGAGACTTAAAAAAAATTACTCGGGCCGGGTGCGGTGGCTCACGCCTGTAATCCCAGCACTTTGGGAGGCCGAGGCGGGCAGATCACGAGGTCAGGAGATCGAGACCAGCCTGGCTAACACAGTGAAACCCCATCTTTACTAAAAATACAAAAAATTAGCTGGGCGTGGTGGCGGGCGCCTGTAGTCCCAGCTACTCTGGAGGCTGAGGCAGAAGAATGGCATAAACCTGGGAGGTGGAGCTTGCAGTGAGCCGAGATTGGCCACTGCACTCCAGCCTGGGCAACAGAGCAAGATTCCGTCTCAAAAAAAAAAAAAAAATTAGGAGGCTGAGGCAGGAGGATAACTTGAACCCAGGAATTAAAGTCTAGCCTGGGAAACATAGTGAAACCCTGTCCCTTAAAAAAAAAAAGCATTAATTAACTCCCTCAGCCCCCAAATTAACCAATTGCAACGTTGTAGACCTTAATTGGATTCTGGTTTGAGGAAACCAACTATAAAATTTTATTTTTTGGACATTCAGGGAAAAATGATCATGAACTAAATATTAGATGACTAATGTTTAGTTTAATTTTGTTGGGGAAGTGTGATAATGGAATTATGGTTATTTTTAGAAGTCATTGTGTGTTAGAAATGCATATTGAGTCTCACAGGTGAAAAGATAGGATATCTGGGATTTACTTTCAAATACTCCAGTAAAACCCAACATGACTGAGAGGACCCATGAAAAAAGAAGGGCAGAATTTTGATAATGGTCAAGCCAGGTGATGGAGTAGTTCATCATACTATTCTCCTTACTTTTTTTTTTTTTTTTGAGATGGAGTCTCGCTCTGTCGCCCAGGCTGGAGTGCAGTGGTGCGATCTCGGCTCACTGCAAGCTCCGTCTCCCAGGTTCACGCCATTCTCCTGCCTCAGCCTCCCGAGTAGCTGGGACTACAGGCGCCCGCCACCACGCCTGGCTAATTTTTTGTGTTTTTAGTAGAGACGGGGCTTCACCGTGTTAGCCAGGATGGTCTCGATCTCCTGACCTCGTGATCCACCCGCCTCGGCCTCCCAAAGTGCTGGGATTACAGGCGTAAGCCACCGCGCCCAGCCCTTACTTTTGTGTATGTTTAAAGTTTTCTATAATAAGAAATAATGCTGATAGCAATATACAGAGTAGTTGTAGGAATGAGTGGTACTGTGGTTTTGTGATTGAAGAAATGGAGATTTGCAGCAAATGGAAAGCTCTTCTTATGGCCTTTTTCACCGTTTTGTTTGTTTGTTTGTTTGTTTGCTTTTGTTTTTGAGACAGGGTCCTGCTCTGTCACCCAGGCTGGAGTGCAGTGGTGCGATCTTGGCTTACTGCAGCCTTGACCTCCTTGGCTAAAGCGATCTTCCCACCTCAGCCTCCTGAGTAGCCGGGACAACAGGAGTGTGCCACCAAGCCCAGCTAATTTTTGTATTTTTTTGTAGAGATGAGGTTTTGCCATGTTGCCTAGGCTGGTCCCAAACTCCTGATCCCAAATGCCTCAGCCTCCCAAAGTGCTGGGATTACAGGCATGAGCCATTGCGCCTGGCCCGTGACCATTTCTTGTATGGTCTCTTGCCCTTAGGCTGAAGGCATTACACTGAAGAAAAGCCATCCTCCTGCTGGCTGAGCTGCTGGGGTCCAGTATCTTGGCTTTCTGGGGCTCTGACTTCATCATAGGCAATAGCTTAGAAAACCCAGAAAAGATTGGGTGACTACCACTATGTCTAAGAGAGAGTCTAGACTGCTCTCCTTGGTGCTTATGGTGGACACTGATGCTGTCCATCAAATATTTCCAGTTTTCCTATTTCTAGGCCAAAGAAGGATTGCTCTTTCTTGCCCCCTTGTGGTTGGGTGGGGCCATGTGATTAGTTCTGGCAAATGAGTTGTGAACTGAAGGGACAGGTGTCACTTCTGGGTGGAAGCTATTAATTGCCTTTGTGAAACCCTGCAGAGCTCTTATTATTTTTTCCTGCTAGTGTGGTGACTGACAGTATTCAAGATGGTGGCTACTCTATCAGCCTGTGTCCCTGAATGACAAAAATAAGAACTCCCTTTTTGACCACAACGCACGTGTAGCCTGAGTGAGAAATAAACCTTTGTTATTTTAAGCCACAGTATGAGTTTCCTATCTTTTTTTTTTTTTTTTTTTTGAGATGGAGTCTCGCTCTGTCGCCCAGGCTGGAGTGCAGTGGTGCGATCTCTGTTCACTGCAGCCTCCGCCTCCTGAGTTCAAGCAATTATCCTGCCTCAGCCTCCTAAGTAGCTGGGATTACAGGCACCCGCCACCACGCCTGGCTAATTTTTATATTTTTAAAGTAGAGACGGGGTTTCACCATGTTGGCCAGGCTGGTCTCAAACTCCTGACCTCAAATGATCCGCCCACCTCAGCCTCCCAAAGTGTTGGGATTACAGGCATGAGCTACCGCACTGGGCCTGATTTTCCTATCCTTAATAGCGCAAACACTTCTGGGAGGTCTGCAGGCTGCACGTTTTGAAATATGTTTAAGTCATCTTATATTTGTTATCTGAGATTTGGGAGTTGTTTTCACAGCATAATCTACCTGATCTTGACTAATATAGTGCCATACGACAACCAACCCTTCAGGCTGCCTGATAAGAAGCTGAAAAACTACTATTGTTGCCATATTACTGTAATCACAATAATTATTAATTATTATAGGTACCACTTGAGTGCCTATTATGTGTACCAGGCATGTACTACCCAGTACATGCAATGCCTCAACTGATTCTCACAACAAACACAAAAGACAAACATTATTATCCCTTGCCAAGATGAGAAAATCAAGGTTTAGGAAATGGCACAAATATCTCATTTGCTGCATGATGGTTATTGAAGACTGTTCATTCTATCATTCTCTGTCCCTTATATAATGTTCCATGGGATGAATTTTCTTTAGCAATTATAGCAAGAACCCCCTTGGAAATCAATTTTACAACATATATCACGCACCATTAGCGTGTTCGTGCCCTTTGCCCCATTCATTAGTATTATCTAGCTCAGGCTTTTTTGTAGTATAGTTAGAAACCTATGTATATACACACCAATATATATGTGAAAAGTGAATTAATAACATTAGAATTTGTCTCTTGAATTGCTAGTATGTTTCCTTTAGCCACAGGTTAAGAATGTTACTTGTCCAGTTCCCCATTTGCCTTGGTGGCCCTGGTGTTTGGTATTTGCCTCCGCCTTACGCAAGGTTAATTTCCTGTCAATTCTAGCAACAATATGACTTTCCTATCTTTAACAGTAGTCCCCGCAAACGCTTCAGGGAGGTCTGCAGCCTGCACATTTTGAAATATGTTTAAGTTGTCTTATATTTGTTATCTGGGGCACATAGGGTGGGCCTGGTGGCATGGGGCGCCCCTGGCAGATTTGAACTAATCTTAGGTGAGTGTGCGGCGCCCCCGCGTGGCGCCTGGCGCAACAACATGCTGGGTTCTGCGTGGGTCCTGGGCCAGGCGCCCACTACGTCTCCACTTCTCTCTCTCCCTTGGCCTATTGGTGCCCTCCGGCCGCACTCCCGCTCTTCCGCTGACCCATCCCTTAACAGCAACAGCCCTGCCCCTTACCCTGTCTTAGGTGCTCAGTGGGCACGCAGGATCCCGGGTCATCAGCCCCGACATGAGCGTGCACACACACACACACACACCCCTCCACGCCTCGCAGCTCTTACAGCTCCACCCAACACAAAAGATCCCCAGGTTATTTTATTGCTGTACTCAGAGGTCAGTTAATGCCCCCGGCCGCCTCACCCTCCCCCCGGCGGTGGCTGAGTCCTCTGCTAGGGTTCGCGAACGGCAGCGGGTCCGAGGGTCACCTCTGCATCTCGCCGCCGGAGGCGCCCCCGCCTCCCCTCCCCGCCGCCGGGCCAGCCGGGGTCCGAGGCCCGCAGCCCCCGGCTGGGAAGGCAGGTCTGGAGAGGCCGCTCCGGGTCTGGAGGGAGGGGAGGCTCTCCGGAAAGGGGTGGCGAGAGACCCCCGCCACGACTCCCAAGCTTCTTCGCGCGCGCTGGAGGGGACACGGTGGGCGCCTAATTCTCGGCGTAGCAGTAGGTCCCATAGGCTGCCTGTTGGGGCCTGGGGAAGCCGAAACTGCGCACTCCGGGATCCGGGAGCCCCCCGCAGCGCGGCCTCGGCGTGGTGATTGGGAAGCGCACACTGCCGTCAGCCAGCCAGCCGCCGTCGCACTGGTCTAGCCCCGAAAACTTCCAGGCGGCGTAGAGGTGCCCAACCTTGGCCACCACGGCGCCGCGTCGCCGGCACGCCGCGTGGGCTTCAGACAGCGTCAGCCGCCCGGGCACGAAGAACACTTGGCCTGGGGACCACAGCGGGTCACCGACCGAGGGCAGGGTGGGCGGAGAGGGGCGGCTGACACCCAGGAGGCGGAGTTGGGGTGCGGGACCGCAGAGGTGCTGGATCGAGCTTGGGTAAGAGGAGTTGGGGGATCGAGGCAAAAGTGCAGGGAGGGTTTGGAGAGGTGAGCTGGAGCCTGGGCGGGCGGGCGGGCTGATGGGGGGGCGGTGCCTTGGAGGGACCCGGAGACCCTGCCCTGATCTCAAGCTGAGGTCCACTCCTCGTCCCCCACATTTTTCAGACCCCTCCCCAAGACCCTGCCTTCGTCCCGCGCCTCACCCGCCAGCGCGGAGGTGAAGCAGAAGGCGTCGTAGCGGTCGCGCATCCGGTCGCGGGGTCCGTAGCTGCGGATCCCGGGCCGGCCTCGGCCGCCGCACGGGGCGCGTGCGGTGAGCACAGGGTAGCGCACGGAGCCCTCGAGCAGCCAGCCCGCGTTACACCAGTCCAGACCCTCGGTCCAAGCTGGCGGGAGACGGCGGAGGTCGGGGATAAGAGGCGTCATAGGCAGGAGCCAGACTGAGCTCGCCTGGCGCCCTCTCTCGGGCCCCTGAGACAGCTCCGCGGGGCTTGGGAAGTGCTGGGTTCGGCCGCTCACCCTGGTAGAGCTGGGAGTAGGTGGCCAGGCGTCCGTCCTGCTCCTCGCACGCCTGCTTCGCCTCGTAGTAATTGAACTGGTACCGGCCCCGGCTGGGTTGGTACGGAAACACCACACCTAGGGGGTGGCGGGGATCCTGGGGAGGGCCAGCGGATGGGAGCGGAGGGGGAGGAAGGGCGGCGCGGCCTGGGAGAGGGAGCTGGGGTCCCCAGGGGTGCGGAGGAGATACTGGGAAGGAGCCCTGGGAGACCCAGGCGAGGCGGACCCGCTGCTACACAGGAATGGGGCGGGAGCGGAAGGGCCTCACCCTCCAAGCTCAAGGTCAGCGCCACGCTCTCGTCCTCGATGCCGTTGATGAGCTCGCAGCGGTACCGGCCCTCGTCCTCCAGGCGCACGCCCGCGATGACCAGGGAGGCGTCTAGTCGATGCCCCCTCCGCATCCTGGCGCGCCCTCCCAGGGGCCCATACCCCCGGGCGTGCAGTCCGTTGGTGATGAGGATCAGCGTTTCCCGGAGCTCCCCAGGCTCCACCTTGCTCCAGCGCACCTTGTAGCTGGGAGGCGTGGTGCCCAGGACGCAGGGCAGCGTGGCCGTGGCCCCACGATGAGAGTGAATGACCTCGTGGATGGGGGGCAGGAGGTAGTGGGGGCCCGGGTGGGATGCTGGGCAGAGGGGGCCACAGTGGCAGGAACCCCCAATCCTCACTGCCCCAAGTGCCCATCAGACCCTGCTCCCCAAATGCTTTCTCCAGAGCCCCCCAACCCTCTCCTCCATTGCCTTCTCAGCAATGACTTTCAGTCCCTGGGTACCTGCAACAACTGCCCTTTCCCCTTTCCCCACCCTTGCAGTCTCCCCAAGCCTCCCCCAGATTCTGGCCTGGGCTGGGGTCTTACCTGGGTCTCCTTGGGCTTTGTGGAAGATGGTGAAGGCCCAAAGAAGGAAGCGGCAGAGTGTGGGGAGGGTGAGCCAGCCTGGCATGATGGGGGGTCAGCCCGGCACCGTCTGCAGGGCACAAAGAGTGGGCAGTTCTTAGGACTGGGGCAAAAGGGTGGGGAAGAGCAGGGTTGTGGGTGAACTCCCATCAGAGATCCTAGAAGGGACTGTCCAGCTGGAAGCCACTGGGGCAGAGAAAAGGGGTTGGTGACAAAATGAAGGTGATGAGGGGAAGAAGGCAGTAGCAATCCCCTTCCTCTCCCTCTCTTCCTCTGTCACATCCTCTCAGCCTGCAGGTACTAATTTAGCATCTTCTCTACCTGTCCCCCTCATCACAAGTGCTACTTCCCAAGCTTGCCATCTGGACTGCCAGCTCGTCTCTATCCTCTCCCAACACCCATTCTCCATCTTGAAGCCAGAGTCAAAATGATCTTATCACTCTCCTGCTTTTTTATTTTATTTATTTATTTATTTATTTATTTATTTATTTATTTATTTTTTTGAGACAGAGTGTTGCTCCATGGTCCAGGCTGGAGTCCCGTGGCATGATCATGGCTCACTGCAGCCCCTAACTTCCAGCTCCAGGTGATCCTCCCATTTCAGCCTCCTGAGTAGCTGGAACTACAGACATGTGCCACCACACCCAGCTAATTGTTTCTTTTTAAGTTTTTAGTAGAGACAAGGTCATGCTGTGTTGACAAGGCTGGTGCTGGGATTACAGCAGGCGTGAGCCACCGTGCCTGGCCTTGTCACTCTCCTGCTTGAAAGTGACTCCCAGTTGCCCTGAGGATAAAATCCAATCTCATAACCACAGCTTCCAAGGCTGTCTATAATCCAGTTGCTCCCTGCACCTCCAGCATGGTCCCCGCCTCGCCTCTTAACCACTTTGGCCTCTGCACTGTTCCCCTGACATGCTGGATTTCTGGCAGTTTCCCACACAGTCCAAGTTTGCATTCATTTCCTTTCCTTTGTGCCTGCATTGGTCGCACAGGCCTCACCTCCTTTGGGAAACCTTTACCCACCCCCAGTTTGCCACACTGTAGTGCACTGTGATCTGCTGGACTGCGGACCTTTTTTTTTTTGAGACAGGGTTTTACTCTCTCGCCCAGACTGGAGTGCAGTGGTATGATCATGGCTTACTGCAGCCTCGCCCTCCCAGACTCAAGCCATCCTCCCATCTCAGCCTCCTGAGTAGCTGGGACTACAGGCGCACACCATGAAACCCCACTAAATTTTTTTCTTTTCTATTTTTTGTAGAGATGGAGTTTCAGAATGTTGCCCAGGCTGGTCTTGAACTCCTGGGCTCAAGTAATCTGTCTTGGCCTCCCAGAATGCTGGGATTACAAGCATGAGCCACCACACCCAGCCAGGACTTTTTTTGTCTTACAAGTACTTTTATTAGCACCTAAACTTAACAGTGTGAATTTGAACATAATATGTATCCACATATAGATACAGAAATTATGAAGTTAAAAAATATAAAATTATAAAGTTATTTTTAAAAACTACTTCAAATGCAATTATCTATTTCAGTACTGTAGTTATTCCCCCCTTTAAATTTGTTTTGTGTTTTTTTTTTCTAGATGGAGTCTCGCTCTGTTGCCCAGGCTGGAGCACAGTGGCACGATCTTGGATCACTGCAAGCTCCACCTCCCGGTAAAAAAAATTTTTTAATCAGATACAGGGTCTTACTAGGTTGCCCAATTCCTGGGCTCAAGCAATGCTCCCACTTCAGCCTCCCAAGTTTGAGCCACTGCACCCAGCTCCTCCTTTATTGTAACATTCTTTTTTTTTTTTTTTTTCTTTTTTCTGAGAGGGAGTTTCACTCTTGTTGCCCAGGCTGGAGTGCAATGGCACCATCTCAGCTCACTGCAACCTCCACCTCCCGGGTTCAAGCGATTCTCCTGAGTAGCTGGGACTACAGGCACCCACCACCACTCCGGGCTAATTTTTGTATTTGTAGTAGAAACAGGGTTTCACCATGTTGGCCAGGCTGGTCTTGAGAACTCCGGACCTCAGGTGATCCACGCTCCTTGGCCTCCCAAAATGCTGAGATTACAGGTGTGAGCCATCGCCTCCAGCACCTATTGTATCATTCTTATCCCTCTGACCTTAAAAAAAAAAATTGGACTGGGCCAGGCACAGTGGGTCACACCTGTAATCCCAACACTGGAAGGCTGAGGCGGGTGGATTACTTGAGATTAGGAGTTCAAGACCAGCCTGGCCATCATGGTGAAACCCTGTCTCTACTAAAAATACGAAATTCAGCTGGGCGTGGTGGCATGCACCTGTAATTCCAGCTACTCGGGAGGCTGAGGCAGGAGAATCGCTTGAAACCAGGAGGTGGAGGCTGCAGTGAGCCAAGATTGTGCCACTGCACTCCAGCCTAGGGGATAGAGCAAGACCTTGTCTCAAAAAAAAAAAAAAAAAAAATGAAGACTTCTTGACTTCACTGCATTCGTTTTCCAAATCTGGCTACTCTATTTCCTAATTGCATGACTATGCATAAGTTAATTATCATGCACAAGTTCCTTAACCTCTCTCTGCCTCAGTGTCCTCATCAGTGAAATGTGGGGAATAATAGCACACCTACCTCACTGAGTAGTTGTGAGGAATAAATAAATTGATATACGCAAAATGCTTGAAATAGTGTCTGGAATGTAATAAGTGCTGTCTATGTGTTAGCTGTTATCTCCAGTTCCCAGCATAGTTTCTGGTACATAGTAGGTGCTAAATAAGTGTGTATGGTTTAATGAACTTACATTAAGGATTCATGGGAAGATGGGATGGGGAATGGGGAGATGGAGGAAGCACCCTGAGAAGTTGCCAGAAATCTAAAGAATGGAGCTCCATCTTTCTGCAAATGAGGACCAAAGACCAGTTTGCAGTAGGAGAAACGGAGGTTATGCATAGAAAACTTCTCAGTGGTTAAAGGTGAAAGTATCTGGGATGCGAACATGAGCAAGAGAACCACTTCTTTATAGGAGAACTTGATAAGTAAGAATGATCGTGAGGACTGAGATTGACTGAGACCAACAATAATGATAGCTCAAATGAACACGTTTAAAATTGAATGTGCCTGACACTGCTCTAAGCACTTTACATGTATATTTTTATATTTACTCCTCCCAGCAATCCTGAGGCAGAAACAATTATAAATCCTACTGTACACATGCTGAAACCAAGGTGCACCTATTTTAGGAAATGAGGTCACACAGCTAGTAAGAGGAAGGGTTTGCTGGGATTTGAATACAGATCTGACAGTGAGGCTCAAGCGCTTAATCACTAATCTATATTTCTGCATTTCAAAACAGTGCACACACATGCTCTTCATACCTCTTACAGAAAATGAGAGTAGTCAGCAGCCCATTGCCTACCTGTTAGAAGCTGGTCTCTTCACAGAGACGGAGGGAGCAGTGCTTAGCAGCTTTTTGTCTTGCTTGAGGAAGAGGTTCTGGATGAAGGTTTGCCAGGCTCCTGGGAGTTCCAAGCACCTTAAAACCCTGGAACTTGAGCCCCTGTTCAACACAGTTGCTCCTTTTGCACCTTTGAGGAAAAGCTTCTGTCCTGTGCTCAAAGAAGAAGCCAAGGTGCCAAGAACGACCCCCACCCCCATCAGTCCACTAAGCCATGTTAAGAGACCTGTGTCCAGCCCTGTGACTATATCTGTGGAAATCACTATTCCGGGACCAGGGGAAGATGCTGGGGTTGGGATGAGGGCTGGGAACCCATGAAGGGGAGTGGAATAAAGGGAGCAACCCAGGAATGATGACCTGGAAGAGTGCAGAAAGTGAGGTGCTTCATTTTTTCTCGATGCCTTTGAACCAGAGAGGTGTAGATTGATCGGTGGATATGAAGGTGTTGGACTGATGGGGATGGGGATGAACTCTAAATGTGGCTCAAAGATCCATAACTGCCAAGCTCGAGCTGCCTCCCTTTCCATATGCGCCTCATCTAAGCAGCATCCCCATCTCCCCTCTCCCCACAACAGAGTACTCACCTCTGCCCTCTGGTGCCTGAGTGCGCATTGCCTTTGCAAACAGACTTTCAGGTGGGAACTATCCAGGACTTCCAGCTGCTTCAAGAAACCGGACCTCTTCTGTACAACCCCCTGTCTGTCTGTCTGTCTGTCCTTTCCTTCTCAGTCCCCACCCCATCGGAAGCACAATTTCCCATTGTCTCTGTCTTTTCCCCTATTGTTGAATAACAGGGCCCCTTTCTTTATTCTGTGGGTAATGGCAATGAAATGTCAACAGCTGGGGATGTGGGATGCAGGACCGGCTGGCACATACCACCGGAAAAGGGCCTGGGTGGGGGGCGGGCTCAGAACAGGAATTGACATCCCCAAGAAGAAGAGAATAGGGTGAGGGGCAGAGAACGGATGGTGAAAAGGTTGAAATGGAATCTCTCTCAACACTCCAAATTACAGGGCTCTAAAGAGATTTTGTCTGAGGCCAGGGGAAAGGCTGGGCTCCATGAGGGCAGAGGGAGTGGCTAGCATTGCAATAGGAGAGATGGAGATTAGACAGCAAGGAGGATTTTTCTGTCCCTGGGGAGGAACATGAGAATTTCTGAGGACAGAAGGACTTTGGAAACCTCTCCAAAAGAGAAGTTATCTTATTGGTTCCCTAATATTCTACCTCTTCCCTCAGCACAAATAGATAACCTTTTTAAAGTACTCAGAAGGGGATCCTTAATCTTCCTGGATGGAAATTCACTTTCTCTCAAGTCTTTTTTTTTTTTTTTTTTTTTTTTTTGAGACGGAGTCTCGCACTGTCGCTCAGGCTGGAGTGCGGTGGCACGATCTTGGCTCACTGCAAGCTCCGACTCCCGGGTTCATGCCATTCTTCTGCCTCAGCCTCCCAAGTAGCTGGGACTACAGGCACCCACCACCACACCCGGCTAATTTTTTGTATTTTAAGTAGAGACGGGGTTTCCCCGTGTTAACCAGGATGGTCTCGATCTCCTGACCTGGTGATCCGCCTGCCTCGGCCTCCCAAAGTGCTGGGATTACAGGCGTGAGCCACCGTGCCCGGCCTTTTTAAAATTTTTTTTTTAAGACAAGGCCTCTATCTGTTGCCCAAGTAGGAGTGCAGTGGCCCAATCATAGCTCACTGCAGCCTCGAACACCTGGGCTCAAGAGATCTTCCCCCTTAGCCTCGAAATTATCTAGGACTACAGGCGCGCACCACCACACCCGTCTAATTAACTTTTTTTTTTTTTTTTTTTTGAGACAGAGTCTGGCTCTGTCACCCAGGCTGGAGTGCAGTGGCGCAGTCTCGGCTCACTGCTACCTCTGCTCTGCCTCCCGGGTTCAAGCCATCCTCCTCTTTCCTCAGCCTTCAGAGCATCTGGGACTACAGACGTGCGCCACCACGCCAAGATAATTTTTGTATTTTTTTGTAGAGATGAGGTTTCATCATGTTGCCCAGGCTGGTCTTGAACTCCTGGGCTCAAGCAATCCGCCCACCTCAGCCTCCCCAAATGCTGGGATTACAGGCGTGAGCCACCATGCTGGGCCTAATTAAGTCCATTTTAAAACCTTTCCATTGAGGTATAATTTACATACAAAAAAGTCATAGAAATTATGTGTACAGCTAAATGAATTTTTACGTGTGTACATATATTGTACACAGGTAAAAACCCACCAGATCAAGACATAGAACATTTCCAACAATGCCGAATAGGCCCAATTGTTTTTGTTTTCTATTAATGCAGAGGGAGGACTCCCTCCACCTGCCCCTGTAAACAGCCATGTAGAAATGTTTTGAGCTTTAAGTTCCATTTTAGCCTTATTTTCTCTCTGCTGTAGCCCCATGGAAGTAGCTTTGCATTATTAAAACCATATAATTTCATGTTCTGTGAGTTAAAAAAAAAAAAAAAAAGAGGCTGGGCACTATGGCTCACACCTATAATCCCAACACTTTGGGAGGCCGAAGTGGGCGGATCACCTGAGGTCAGGAGTTCGAGACCAGCCTGGCCAACATGGTGAAACTCTGTCTCTACTAAAAATACAAAAATTAGCCAGGCATGGTGGTGTGCGCCTGTAATCCCAGCTCCTCGGGAGGCTTGAGGTGGGAAAATCGCTTGAACCCAGGAGGAGGTTGCAGTGAGCTGAGATCGTGCCACTGCACTCCAGCCTGGGCAACAGAGTGAGACACCATCTCAAAAAAAAAAAAAAAAAGAACCATACCCTTTCAGAACTGGAGACCTCAGGATGCTGAACATTTACTAGAGGAGGAGATGGAGAGGAAGGTGGCTTGCCCCAAATCACGCACAATACAGTCATTGAGTCAAGCCTAGAAGTTTCTGCTTTTTCCACTAATCCTCTTCTGCCTCTCTCCTTGGCTGTCCAATTCAGACAAGCTCCAGGTTTTCACTTGGGCCATATCTAATAATAGGAAGCTCACCTTGAATATACTTTTCTTTCTTTCTTTCTTTCTTTTGAAACAGGGTCTCACTCTGTCACCCAGGCTGGAGTGCAGTGATACGATCATGGCGCACTGCAGCCTCGACCTCCCAGGTTCAAACGATCCCTCCCACCTCAGCCTCTCAGGTAGCTTGGTGCACAGATGTGCACCACCACACCCAGCTAACTTTTAAAAATTATTTGTAAAGACAGGGTCTCCCTATCTTGCCCAGGCTGCTCTCAAACCCCTGGACTCAAGTGACCCTCCCTCCTTGGCCTCCCAAAGTGCTGGGATTACAAGCATGAGCCACTGCACCCGGCCGACTATACTCTTGAGAGATCTGATTGACTATCTTTTCCCTATCTACTCCATCCCTGTTCTTAAGCGCTTCCCTCCTCCTCCCACGACTGTCTCTCTCATGAGAGAAGACAAATAGCCCCCTGTCTCCTTGGACAGGACACCCTGATCCAGTGCATCTGATTGGCTTCCTGCCAACTCAAACAAACAGCCTCCGGCAGAGGGAGAAGTAGATATAAATGGCTCCACAGCCTGGCCACTGCATCCATTCCCAGGCTCATTTCTCCACAAATTTACTGTTCCTTTCTCCACAAATCACTTCTGAACTGTGGCTTGGAAGTCTCTGGTATGTAAATCCATAAAAGGCTGAGTTTGATGGGGAGGAAAGCCTAGAACTATTTGACAGATGCAAAAACAACCCAGTGAGGACAGAATGAGAAAGGAACAGACAGGAATACATATAATGAATAGCCAAACTGTGTTTAGTTTACTCAAGGTCACTTTCATTCTCAGTTTCCCCCCAGACGCTAAAATGGGAGTGGGGTGAGATGGCTGAGACAAGCTGGGGTCTCCTCACTGACCCAGCATCTCTGAGGAAGGGCTTTGTCAGTCCTATACCTACTGACCAGAGTGTGGTGGAGTGATTCCAGACAAGCACGGAGTCCCGACATCTCCTTCTCTAACACCCACACTCGCTTCCACCATCCAAGCAGGTTCAGCTGGCCAGTTTTCCTGACCCCTGGTGATGGCAAGCATGGCCCCAGTTTATGACTAGGATTGTTGTGTGAATGACTGGAAGGGCTGGCAAGATGACACTTTAGGGAGGACTTTAAAAGGCATGGCTCTCTTTGGTCTTTCTCTTTCCAACATTTTTTTAATAATTTTTTTTAACAGATGGGATCTCTAAAAATTTTTTTAAGAGATAGGATCTCTAAAAATTTTTTTAAGGGATGGGATTTGGCTGGGCACGGTGGCTAATGCCTGTAATCCCAGCACTTTGGGAGGCCGAGGTGGGCGGATCACAAGGTCATGAGTTCAAGACCAGCCTGGCCAGCATGGTGAAACCCCATCTCTACTAAAAATACAAAAAGTTAGCCGGGCATGATGATGCGTGCCTGTAGTCCCAGCTACTTGGGAGGCTGAGGCAGGAGAATCACTTGAACCCAGGAGGCGGAGGTCGCAGTGAGCTGAGATCGCACCACTGCACTCCAGCCTGGGCGATAGACCAAGATTCTGTCTGAAAAAAAAAAAAAAAAGAGAGAGAGAGAGAGTGAGATGGGATCTGTCTCTGTGACTCAGAACTGCAGTACAGTGGTGTGATCATTGCTCACTGCAGCCTCAAACTTCTGGGTTCAAGTGATTCTCCTGCCTCATCCTCCTGATTAGCTGGGAGTACAGGCGGGCACCCCCATGCCTGGCTTTCCAGCATTTCTCCAGGGCCAAAAGGCAGCAACATTGAACTCAGCCTGGTGCTTTATTTGGACGCTCTCCTAGACTCCACTCCTGGCCATATATAGAGGCCTGAAGTATGCAAGGCTTACTCCCCAGAGCGTGCAAGGTAGAACTCTGCAGTACAAACCTTTACAGCTGCTGGGCATAGGAGACCTTCTAGTAGAGGACAGGAGGCTTGGGTTCTAGTTACAGTTCTGCCACAGTGTCACCTTAGGTGACACAGGCCCAGGCTTCGCTGCTGGGCCTGTTACTTCATCTGCACAATGGAAACTCAATTCTATTTAAATTACTTTCTAAAGGGCCTCAGTCTGCAGAGACACAGAAGCAAATGATTGTATGAAGCTCCTGACTGTATGAAGTTCTCAGTCAAACAAAATAGTACCTCTTCTGCCCATCTCAGAGGTGGATAAGGATAAAGTGAAATAATGGAAAGCACAAGGAACAGTAAAAGGCAAATGTCAAGAAGCTGTTTGCAAAGTTACCAAGATGTAAAATTAGATTTTACTTATTAATAATCATGTCACTTGTCATTCTGTTTATAATGGTCAATTCACTGCTGATATTCAAGTGGACCGTTTAAACTGTATTTTTGCTCAGCTATCCCTCCAAATAAATATCTCAAAATCTTGACTGTTTATTTTCTTAGCCCATCTTATTTTCCCAGGCCTCAAAGCGTGGCTTCTCAAATCCCTGGCTTGTCTTCTGATTCTGGCCAGTCTAGGTGGGGTCTGGCTTCAGTTTGTACAGATTCTCACTCCCAATCTCATATTGGTCAAACAAACCCAGAAGTAAGATCTACACGTATTAATCAACCATTCTCAGACCAGGATTGGAATAATTTGAAAAAGTGAACTCTGGCTGGGTGCCGTGTTCACACCTGTAATCCCAGCACTTTGGGAGGCTGAGGCGGGTGAATCACGAGGTCAGGAGATTGAGACCATCCTGGCCATCATGGTGAAATCCATCTCTACTAAAATTACAAAAATTAGCTGGGTGTGGTGGCGCGTGCCTGTGATCCCAGCTACTCGGGAGGCTGAGGCAGGAGAATCGCTTGAACCAGGGAGACGGAGGTTGCAGTGAGCTGAGATTGCACCACTGCACTCCAGCCTGGTGACAGAGTGAGACTCTGTCTCAAAAAAAAAAAAAAAGTGAACCCCAACTTATAGCTGTATGTTCTTTCACATGGGAGAAATAAACTCTATCACAGTATTATTATTCCCATTTTATAGACCAGGAAAGTGATGTTCAGAAAGGGTTAGTAAGCTAGTAACTTGTTCAAGTTCATATACTTACTAAGTAACCCAGGTAGCCTATCTCTAAAGCTAGATGAGTTCTTCTTTGCTGTGAAAGAATAATTTCTTGAAACTTGGAAATGGTAAAATTGAGGATTTTTTTATATATCACACTAGAGCATTTTTTCTTTTTTTTCTTTTTTCTTTTCTTCTTTTTTTTTTTTTTTTGAGAAGGAATCTCACTCTGTCACCCAGGCTGAAGTGCAGTGGCATGATCTTGGCTCAATGCAACCTCTGCTTCCTGGGATCAAGTGATTCTCCTGTCTCAGCCTCCCAAGTAGCTAGGGTTACAGGCGTGAGCCACCACACCAAGCTAATTTTTTGTATTTTTAATAGAGACGGGGCTTCACCATGTTGGCCAGGCTGATCTCGAACTTCTGACCTCAAGTGATCTACCCGCCTTGGCCTCCCAAATTGTTGGGATTACAGACATGAGCCACCACACCTGGTCTAGAGCATTTTCTAATAAGTTTGCTTGACACTCATCTGACTCTCCCAGGGAATGTGACTTTGTTGTCACAGTACATTTGATAAATAATCTACAACTTACAAATGCACAGACATTTATAGTCCTGTTGGGTAAAGGCTAACCTGCAGAACTTGATACAATGATAGGGTTTTATTGCCCAATTGAGAAGTTAATCACAAAGGGGTTTTGGTTTTACTGTGCTAGAAAGTTAGCCAGTCCTATATCTAAATTATCAATCTAATTTTGACATTCTTTTCTTTTTTTTGAGACGGAGTCCCACTCTGTCGCCCAGACTGGAGTGCAGTGGTGCGATCTTGTCTCACTGCAACCTCTGCCTCCCGGGTTCAAGCCATTCTCCTGCCTCGGCCTCCTGAGTAGCTGGGATTACAGGTGTGCACCACCACGCTCAGCTAATTTTTTTGTATTTTTAGTAGAGACAGGGTTTCGCCATGTTGGCCAGGCTGGTCTCGATCTCCTGACCTCACAATCCGCCTGCCTCGGCCTCCCAAAGTGCTGGGATTACAGGCGTGAGCCACCATGCCTGGCCTGACAATTCTTTTCTTATTGACTGTTTAAATTCCTGTTTCTCAAATCCTCCTCAAAGCAGCTCTTTTGTCTCCTTATTGGTTCTCTCATTAATGAGTTCAATAAAATGATGACATGAGTTAATGAATAACAAAAAAGTTTGAGAATTGTGTTTTTCCACTTCTCAACTTCCCTTTATTGAGGGCAACACACTAGCACCCTCCGCTTCCCTTTAATAATAAATCCACTGGCAGAATTACTGCAAGAGTTTTTAGGAAGCTGAAACTCTTGGAAGGGTAGGACCACTTTGTATCTCCAGCATGCAAGGAACCAGCTATGAACTCCAAGATGAAGTGGCCATTATCAGCAAGACTCCTCTGCAAGTCCTTCGCGTAGCTAAGGACAGCTTTAGTGTTTGCTGCTCCCGTGAGCCACCATTTCCTGCTCCTCAGTCCCACTAGCAACATCAAAGAGACTTTAGGTTCACCCATTTGTGCTTCCTCCGGGAAGCTTTCCTTAACAGAAGCAAGAAACAGGAGCCAGGAGCAGTGGCATGTGCTTGTGGTCCCAAATACTTGGGAGGCTGAGGCAGGAGAATTGCTTGAACCCAGGAGTTTAAAGCTGCAGTAAGCTATGATTTAGCCACTGCCCTCCACTCTGGAAGACAGAGTGGGACCACTCCTCCCTCCAAAAAAAATATCCAAACAAAAGGAAGAAGCAACTTAACAGCTTCACCTGGATATACCAGACATTCAGAAAATGTTTACTGGCGGGCGCGGTGGCTCACACCTGTAATCCTAGTACTTTGGAAGGCAGAAGCGGGTGGATCACCTGAGGTTGGGAGTTCAAGACCAGCCTGGCCAACATGGTGAAACCCCGTCTCTACTAAAAATACAAAAATTAGCTGAGCATGGTAGTGGGCACATGTAATCCCAGCTACTGGGGAGGCAGAAGCAAGAAAATTGCTTGAACCCTGGAGGCGGAGCTTGAAGTGAGCTTGAAGTGAGATCACGCCACTGCACTCTGTCCTGGGCAACAGAACAAAACTCCGTCTCAAAAAAGCAAAACAAAACAAAAACCCAGAAGATATTTTCTGAATAAATAAATAAAATTGAAGTTTTCTTCCAATTTCTGCAAGTTTAACAAAAAGGCAGTATGGAGTAGGGGTTAAGTTCCACAGGCTCTGTTCCTTCTTTCCCTGTGCACAAAACAAACTAACAAAAAAGTTCCATATCCTCTGGGTTGAAAGTCTAAGCATAAATCTCAGCCCTGCTACCTACTAACGAAGGAATATTAGATAACTACAGCATTGATAAGCAGAACAGTGCTTGGCTCATAGAAAGTAATCAATACATTTTAGGCATTATCACTGGTAGGGGAAGAAGTTTCAAAGGGAACAGAATCAATCAAAACACAGACAGCTACTGATTGATTGAAGGGATCACCTGGTTTTTTTGTTTGTTTGTTTGTTTATTATTATACTTTAAGTTTTAGGGGTTTTTTTGTTTTTTTGTTTTTTGTTTTTGAGATAGAGTTTCGCTCTTGTTGCCCAGGCTGAAGTGCAATGGCACGATCTCAGCTCACTGCAACTTCCACTTCCCAGGTTCAAGTGATTCTAGTGCCTCAGCCTCCCAAGTAGCTGGGATTACAGGCGCGCATGACCACGCCTGGCTATTTTTTGTATTTTTAGTAGAGACAGGGTTTCCCCATGTTGGCCAGGCTGGTCTTGAACTCCTGACCTCAAGGGATCTGCCTGCCTCGGCCTCCCAAAGTGCTGGGATTACAGACGTGAGCCACTGCCCCTGGCCTTTTTTTTTTTTTTTTAGGGTCTCACTCTGGCCCAGGCTGGAGGGCAGTGGTGCGATCATAGCTCACTGCAGCCTCGACCTCTCTGATCCTCCCGCCTTAGCCTCCTGAGTCGCTAGGATTACAGGCGTGTACCACCATGCCTAGCTGATTTTTGTATTTTTCTGTAGAGATGGGGATTCACCAGGTTGCCCAGGCTGCTCTCAAACTCCTAGGCTCAAGGGACCCACCCACCTTGGCCTCCCAAAGTGCTGGGATTACAGGTGTGAGCCACCATGTTTGGCCACCTAATTTTTAAGAGGACATAAAATCCATACACACATGAAAGTCATGTTCCACTTATGATTTTTATGTTTGTTATGAAACAAAAGTAATATCATTACATATTGAAAAATAATTCAACCACTATCAAAGGAATAAAATGAAAAGTAAAATTTTCCTTTCCTTTTTTCTTTCTTTCTTCTCACCGCCCCCAGGAACAACTGAACCATTATTAGCCTTCTGCTGTATCTTTCCAGAAAAATATTTAAGAATCTACAGGAAGGTAGATAAATGGAAACATACATCATACATATATTCTAACCTGAGATCATGATATACAAACCGTTTCCTACTTTTCTTTTTTTCTTTTCTTTTTTTTTTTTGAGACGGAGTTTTGCTCTTGTTGCCCAGGCTGGAGTGCAATGGCGCGATCTCGGCTCACTGCAACCTCCGCCTTCCTGGTTCAAGCGATTCTCCTGCCTTAGCCTCCCGAGTAGCTGGGATTACAGTCTCCCGCCACCATGCCTGGCTAATTTTTTTGTATTTTTAGTAGACACGGGGTTTCTCCATGTTGGTCAAGCTGGTCTTGAACTCCTGGCCTCAGGTGATCCGTCTGCCTTGGCCTCCCAAAGTGCTGGGATTACAGGCGTAAGCCACCGCGCCTGGCCTCCTACTTTGCTTTTCCACCGAATAATATGATGTGAGCATTTGTCCTATCAGCACATGACATCAAATTCTCTCATTTTTCATGTCTGCATAGTATTTCAGTGGGTGGCTGTAGCATTATTTGTTTGTTTGTTTTTGTTTTTTTGAGATGGAGTCTTGCTCTGTCACCAGGCTGAAGTGCAGTGGTGCGACCTCAGCTCATTGGAACCTCCACCTCCTGGGTTCAAGCGATTTCACTGCCTCAGCCTCCCAAGGACCTGGGATTACAGGCACGTGCCACCACACCCAGCTAATTTTTTATATTTTAGTAGAGACGGGGTTTCACCATGTTGGTCAAGACGGTCTCCATCTCCTGACCTCATGATCCGCCCACCTCGACCTCCCAAAGTGCTGGGATTACAGGCGTGAGCCACTGCGCCCAGCCTGTATTTGTTTTTTAACTTTTATTTTATGTTCAGGGGTACATGTGCAGGTTTGTTCTATAGGAAAATTGCATGTTGTGGGGGTTTGGTGTATAGATTATTTTGTCACCCAGGTAGTAAGCGTAGTACCTGATAGGTAGGTTTTCAATCCTCACCCTCCTCCCACCCTCCTCCCTCAAGTAGGCCTGGTGTCTATTGTTCCTTTATTTGTGTCCGTATGGAGCATAATTTATTTAATGAGATGCCTATTGATGGACATTTAGGTTGCTAAAGGTCGCAACAACTAGTTATCTGGAAAAAGAAAACAGCAGATCTATAACTGTCCTTAAACTAAAATCCAGAAGGCTCAAAAATATAAATGTAAAAATAAGGCCATCAAAATGCCAGGATGAATCATAGAATAATAATTTTTTAATTGGAAGACTACTTGGATTAATTTTTTACTGATTACACAATGATGCACTTAATTGTAGATAATTTAACAAACATAACAACATTAAAAAGTGAAAAGCCCCCTTAATCCTACCACATAGAGAAAATGACTTTTAATCTTTTGTTGTCTTTGCAATCTTTCAAGGCATTTATATACATTCATATAAGATGTGTATGAATATATTTAGCCATGATTGAAATGGTAACATGTAATAAGGCAGAGAGCCAGCAGGTGGGGCAGGAAGGCTGTATCCCCAGTGCTGAGGGCCCCTGCAGCGTTCTGGGCGCTGCACCTGGCTCAGGTCCTGTGCATGTTTAGGGGATCACCAGGTGTCCGTGGTGGAGGATGCTCAAAGATAAAGATGCTACAGCAGAGCCCTCAAAGCTCTGGGGGCATCCTTCAGACTCAGCGCTTCAGACCTCTGTTTTTCCTGTGTTCAGCTAAGCTCTTGTTCGAAGGGAGAATGAATAAGGCTGGGATTCCTTGGTGTTCTTACCATCACGGTCCTCCTTCCCAGCTCTACTCCCACTGGTGTTGGTGTTTTCTATACTGCCCCTTTCAGAAATTTTTCCACAGCATCTTTACTGATGTATCTGGAAATATGTCGTATGAAAAACATAAAAAAGCAACCCAAATGGGTGTGTCTGCTACCTTGAAACCTGCACCCTCTAGGAGAACTCTAGAAGCGCAGCAAGCACTGCAAAAGAAAGAGGGCGGGTGGATCACGAGGTCAAGAGTTCAAGATCAGCCTGGCCAAGATGGTGAAACCCCGTCTCTACTAAAAACACAAAAATTAGCCAAGTGTGGTGGTAGACACCTATAATCCCAGCTGCTCGGGAGGCTGAGGCAGAAGAATCACTTGAACCTGGGTAGCGGAGGTTGCAGTGAGCTAAGATCATGTCACTGCACTCCAGCCTGGGTGACAGAGTGCGACTCTGTCTTTAAAAAAAAAAGTAAGGAAAGGAAGGAAGAAAGAAAGGAAAGAAAAGAAAAGAAAAGGGCCCTGCTATACCCTGCCTCCCTTCTTGGCATCCTTCACCTACACCATGACCAGCATTTACACACACTGAAGGTTTTAAAGGAGACAATGAGGCCAGGGAAAGGCAGAGACAAGACCCAGAGGGACAGGGATGCAGGTCAGAGACAGGGCTTCATCCAGATCGGAGAGAATGATGACACCAAGGGGCAGATGGCAATAGGGCTTTAAATAGAAATAAGTGTTCAGCTGAACCTGCACTAGATGGCATCAGAGAGCAGCAGTGATAGTGCTGAGAGCACGTCTCATTCCATCTCTCTCTGTGCTCTGTCGGCCCCTATTTGTAGGTAAGCACAAATCTGGGCAATATTACAGTGAGACTCAAATATGGTAATGTTTGTGAACATGATATTCTAAACTGTAAACCACCGTGTGAAAATTATTTTAAATAGTAAAGTACTGTTGGCAAGGGATCATAATATCTTTATTATCATGAACTCAAAGGGTTAATGAAGTCAGAAAATTAGAACCTGCCTAGGCTAAGGATTGAATCCTGTGAGACACAGGCTCACCTTTTTTTTTTCCTCAACAGAAAGAAAAGTGAATAATATTCGAATAGGTAAGCATTGCCAGTATTTGCTATATAGATTTTTTTTAAAAATCCCACACTCATTGCAACCACAACATATTTTCTCTTTCCTCAGTCTCAGGGTTTACTGACAGAAAAAATAACTGGGAAGAAGTGGAGGAAGATAAATTGTGTACTAGTTTATGAATCATGGGGAGATGCTGGCTTGGCCTGACTTTTATAACACTATGTGTAGATTTAAACCCAGTATAGAAAAATAACACAGTGCCTTAATTTTTAGGATTCAATTCTGCTCCAGGAATTTAGAGAGGCATTCAAGGTTTGGTAGTCAGTCTCAGGGACCACACATACTTCCTCCTGAAGGTCTTCCCCTGGGGCCAGTCATATGCACCTCACCTCTGCCCCACCTCCCTCAGCACTCAGGGGCTCTCATTTGTAACCATTTCTCTTTTTTTTTTGAGACAGAGTCTTGCTCTGTCACCCAGACTGGAGTGCAGTGTCACAATCTCGGCTCACTACAACCTCCACCTCCTGAGTTCAAGCGATTCCCCTGCCTCAGCCTCCCGAGTGGCTGGGATTACAGGTGCGTGCCACCATGCCTGGCTAATTTTTGTATTTTTAGTAGAGATGGGGTTTTGCCATGTTGGCCAGGCTGGTCTTGAACTCCTGACCTCAGGTCTTTCACCCACCTCGGCCTCCCAAAACCATTTGTTATTTTAAAATCACTTTCCTGAAAAAATAATACATTAATTGTAGACAATTTTAAATGAAGGGAAAATATCTTGTTAAAGAAAAAAATTATTCGATGACACTTGTCAAAGCATGGTAAGGCAGACTTTATTCAGGACCATTGTGATAGGTATAGGGACCATGACAATGGGATTTTGCAGTGGGGGAGAAAGAGAAATTGGGCTCAACTCTCAATACAGCATGGGAAGTATAACTGAGGAATTTATAACTGAGGTGCAGGGTGGGGGTTAGGAGATGGGAAATTATTATGAAAAAACACCAGGGGTAAAGGGGATTTGCATTAAAACCTTACAAGATTCTTGCCAAAGACAGGCTGAGGTAATCAGATATCACCTGATGGATGGTGAAGGATGAGGAACCTGATCAGATATCAAGGGTGATCAGGTATCAAGAGAAGGGGGCTTAGGCTGGGCGCGGTGGCTCACTCCTGTAATCCCAGCACTTTGGGAGGCCGAGGCAGGAGGAATGCTTGAGCCCAGGAGTTGGAGGCCAGTCTGGGCAACATGGTGAAACCCTGTCTCTACAAAAAATACAAAAATTAGCCAGGTATGGTGTGCCACTCCTGTGGCCCCAGCTACTTGGGAGGCTGAGGTGAGAGGATTGCTTGAGTCCAGGAGATTGAGGCTTCAGGGAGCCATGATCACGCCACTGCACTCCAGCCTGAGCAACACAGAAAAACTCTGTCAAAAAAAAAAAAAGTGGAGGGCTTCATGCTAAATTGACTTCACAGGATTCTTTCCTTTTTTTTTTTTTTTTTTTTTTTTAGACAGAGTCTCACTCTGTCACCCAAGCTGAAGCACAGTGGCACAACCACAGCTCAGGCTCCAAGCAATTCTCCCACCTCAGCCTCCCAAGTAGCTGGGACTATGGGCGTGGGCCGCCACATTCAGTTAATTTTTAATTTTAATTTTTAATTTTTTTTTTGAGATGGAGTTTCGCTGTTTTGCCCAGGCTGGAGTGAAGTGGCGCAGTCTTGGCTCACTGCAACCTCCGCCTCCCGGGTTCAAGCGATTCTCTGGCCTCTGCCTCCTGAGTAGCTGGGATTATAGGCGCCTGCCACCATGCTGGCTAAGACGGGATTTCGCCATGTTGGCCAGGCTGGTCTCGAACTCCTGACCTCAGGTGATCCACCCACCTTGGCCTCCCGAAGTGTTAGGATTACAGGCGTGAGCCACCATGCCCAGCCTAATTTTTATTTTTAGTAGAGACGATGTCTCACTATGTTGCCCAGGCTAGTCTCAAACTCCTGAGCTCAAGTGATCCTCCTGCCTTGGCCTCCCAAAATGCTGGGATTATAGGCTTGAGCCACCATGCCCGGCCAACACCATTTGTTGAAAAGACTATTCTTTCTCCATTGAACTGTTTTGGCACTCTCGTGCAAAATCAATTGCCCATAAGCGTATGGGTTTATTTCTGGATTCTCAATTCCATTACATTGATCTATATGTCTATCCTCTTTGAAAACCCCACAGTCTGTAGCTTTGTAGTAAGTTTTGAAATCAGGAAGTGTAAGTCCTACAACTTTCTTCCTTTTAAAGATTGTTATGGCTATTCTGGGCCCTTTGCTTTTTTTTTTTTTTTTTTTTTTTGAGACCAAGTCTCGCTCTGTAGCCCAGGCTGGAGTGCAGTGGCATGATCTCAGCTCACCAAAAACTCTGCCTCCCGGGTTCAAGAGATTCTCCTGCCCAGCCTCCAGAGTAGCTGGGATTACAGGTGCACGTCACTGCACCCGGCTAATTTTTTGTATTTTTTTTTTTTATTAGAGACAGGGTTTCACCATGTTAGCCAGGCTGGTCTTGAACTCCCAACCTCAGGTAATCTGACCATGTCGGCCTCGCAAAGTGCTAGGATTACAGGCGTGAGCCACCATGCCCGGCCTACATTTCTATTCTTTTCTTTTCTCTCTCTTTTTTTTTCTTTTTCAGACGGAGTCTCACCCTATCGTACAGGCTGGAGTGCAGTGGTGTGATCTCGGCTCACTGCAACCTCCACTTCCCAGGTTCAAGCGATCCTCGTGCCTCAGCCTCCCAAATAGCTGGTATTACAGATTCGTGCTACCACACCTGGTTAATTTTTGTAGTTTTAGTAGAGACGGGGTTTCACCATATTGGCCAGGCTGGTCTCGAACTCCTGACCTCAAATGATCCTCCCACCTCGGCCTCCCAAAGTGCTGGGATTACAGGTGTGAGCCACTGCTCCCAGCTGGTCCTTTGCATTTCTATATGACTTCTAGGATGGACTTGTTGATTTATGCAAAAAAAAAAAAAAGCCAGCTGGGATTTTTTATAGAGATTGTGTTGAATTTATAGATCAATTTGGAGAGTATTGTCATCTTAACAATATTGTCTTCTATTCCATGAACACAGGGTATCTTTCCATTTATTTAGCTCTTCCTAATTTCTTTCAATGAGGTTTTGTAGCTTCAATGTATAAAGCTTGCACATCTTTTGTTAAATGTATTCCTAAGTATTTTATTACTTTTGATCCTATTGCCTATGAATTTTTAACATAGATAGGTTCTTACTGTAGGTAACATTTTGTATCTTCTTTTTTCATTTCAATTATATCACAGACATGTACCCAAGCTATTAAGAATTCTTTGGCCGGGCACGGTGGCTCCGCCTTTAATCCCAGTACTTTGGGAGGCCAAGGCAGGCAGATCATGAGGTCAAGAGATCGAGACCATCCTGGCCAACATGGTGAAACCCCATCTCTACTGAAAATACAAAAATTAGCTGGGCGTGGTGGCACGCACCTGTAGTCCCAGCTACTCAGGTGGCTGAGGCAGAATCGCTTGAACCTAGGAGGTGGAGGTTGCAGTGAACCAAGATCGTGCCACTGCACTCCAGCCTGGCGATAGAGACTCTGTCTCAAAAAAAAAAAGAAAAAAAAAAGAATTCTTCAACATCATTGTTGAAGACTACACATTAGTCCATTGTATGTTTACACTGTAATTTATGTAGACTTTCTCCTGTTGTGAGATATTTTGATTCTTTCCAATTTTTCCATTTTATAAATATTACTGTAATAAATATTTCTATGCATCTTGTTATCTGCATTTCAGGCCATTTCCTTATAAGTATTCATGTATTCTTTTTCTCTCATAATGGCCTTTGTTTCTACCCTTGTGAGGAGGTATGAGACCCCATTAAACTGCGAACTCCTTGAGACCCATTTCTCTTGTGATCTCTCATAGCCCCCAGGGACAGGCTGCAGCCTCAGTGACTTCTTCAAGAAGCTCCCAGGGGTCTCAGACTGGGTCAGATGCTTCTCATCTTATCCCCATAGCACTGTGTCCTGACCTTGCCATAACTCTTATTACTCAATGATATAAATGCCTGGTAACTAGTTTAAACCCCCACAAGATCGTGAGGCCTAACAGGACAAGAGATGGACCTTTTTATACCTCTAGCCCTTAGTATATAGGAGACCTTTAATAAATATTTATTGAATGAGTGAATCAGGCACAACAGTGAGCTCAAAGACTTAGGCCAGACTAGGAATCTTGATTCAAAGATTTATGGCCATTAAGTTTTGGGAGTGGCTGGCAAAGTGCATCACACTAAAACTCTAAGTTGGAAAGGGTCCTTGAGGGTTACCTCATTCGGAATTTTAAAACTTCTTATATATTTCATATATATACCTGTATATGTATATGTACATACATACACACATATATGAAATATTCTATATAACATACAATTTTGTATATAATACACACACACATATATTTTAGATAGAAGGGGTAGAAGAGATGGAGAGGTGGGGGTGGGTGGAAATTGAAGCCCTGTCTGTGGAATTTTCTCAGTGGCTGCAGGACACTGCAGCGAAACTCAAGTTTGCCCCGGCACAGTGGCATGCACCCGTACTCCCAGCTACTTGGGAGGCTGAGGCAGGAGGATCATTTGAGCCCAGGAGTCCAAGGCCAGCCTGGGAAACACAGGGAAACCCCATCTCAAAAAAAAAAAAAATTGTTCAAGGTCACACAATGAGTGGCAGAATGGGAAAAGGAGTCAGATGTCTCTCCACAAAATGTTTCTCTGTTGAATCCATCTCTAAGGAATGCCTTTGAAGCATCCCACATCCCTTCTGCAAGTGTCTAAAATTCCAGTAATTAAGATCGATCGTTTAAAGTATTGTCCCCATGTAGCATGTTTTGAAAGTAAAATTAATTTTATGGAAAAAATTATGGGGATGAATGGGTATGACATACAGGGCAATTATGACAAGGCTCTCCTGTGAAATGGCGATTTTTCTGTTTGGAAGTTTCTAGGGGGCGCTAAGTCAACGGAAATACCGATATGGGGAGGCAGAAAAGGATACTTTTCTCGGGTTTTAGTTCTTGGGTGGCTCAGTGAGGCCAAGGAACAGCTTGCAGGGGTAGGGGCATGTGCAGTCCCTTTTGCTGTATCTTCTTTCCCTCCTTTGCTCAATACATCCTCATACCGACAGGGCAAGTCCAAACTCCTCAGCCTGGCATGCATTCTGGGATCCTGCTTTTTTTTTTTCTGGCTCACTGCAACCTCCGCCCTCCCCTCACTCCCACAGCGGGCTGAAGGGATCCTCCCACCTCAGTAGCTGGGACCCACAGGCGTGCACCACCATGCCCGGCTTTTTTTTTTTTTTTTTTTTTTTTTTGGTATTTTTAGTCGGTGTCTCGCCATTTTGCCCAGGCTGGTCTTGAACTTCTGGGCTCAAGCTATCTGCCTGTCTTGGCCTCCCAAAGTGCTGGGATTACAGGCATGAGCCACCGCGTCTCACCCATCCTGTATCTTTCTCCAAGTCCCACTGGCATGTCCTCCATCTAATCCCACTCAAGGTCCCAAGTTTCCCAGGCTAGACTGGGTGTTCCCCTAAATCAAGACCTGTGTCTTATGCGTCTTTTTATCCCCCAGTACCAAAGGGACAAGTTCTGGCACACAATGGTGAGTCAAAAAGTGTTTGATGAGGCCGGTCACGGTGGCTTACGCCTGTAATCCCAACACTTTGGGAAGCCGAGGTGTGCATATCACTTAAGGCCAGGGATTGGAGACCAGCCTGTACAACATGGCAAGACCCCTTCTCTACAAAAAAAATACAGAAATTAGCCAGGCGTGGCGGTGCATGACTGTGGTACCAGATACTCACGAGGCTGAGATGGGAGGATCACTTGAGCCCAGGAGGCGGAGGTTACAGTGAGTGAGTCGATATCGCGCCACTGCCCTCAAGTCTGGGCAACAGAGCGAGACCCTGTCTCAGAAAAAAAAAAAAAGTGCTTGATGAACCTATTGAGATGTCTAGTCTCTAGGCTTTCATAAATAACTGTTCCTGTGAAGGCTGAGTATTCATGAGTATTCAACCCTGAAAAATCAGGACACAGCTATCACCTACTCTGCCTCCACGAATTTCTCAGGCTACTCTCAATGCTTCCCTGGAGTTTTCCTTCCTCGTATTTGCGCCCGGGACTAGCTCAGTGTAGGACGCGGAGCCGTTCTTGGCATCCTGAGAGGGCCAGTTAGTACTGAAGTCCCTTGGCTGCTCAAGGATTGCAGGGATGAGGCAAGTGGAACAGCCTCGGAACCTCCGAAAATGGGCACGCTCCAGGTCCCAGTTTCTATGGCAACCATACCGGCAAATTGGGCTCCGCAATGGTTTCTCCTGGAAAAACCGTGATTTTGGTTCCCGCGGACGTCTCTATGGTTTCGACAGCCTAGAAGGAACAAAACGGCATTTCCGGGAAGATGGCGGCGCACAAGTCAGGTCCGGCACATGTTTCCGCGGAGCGGACCCAGCAATGACGGTAAGGGGCTCCCTTCCCCCGAACGGTGGTAGTCGGAGCCCGGGCTTATTAGCAAACGTGAGAGGAGCAGAGTATTTTTACCCAAGTGGCACTGGGGTAGGAGGGCTGGAATTTAGCCCTCAAGAGCAAGGAAGCCTAGGGAAAGGGCAGCCGGCTCTTTAGGACTGCTGTAAGACGAGTGAACCTGGGGCCACTTCTGAAAACACAGATTGACTGTAGAGGGGACAGTGCCCGAAGTGTGATCACAGGTTTCAGAAAGACTGGGGCGCACAGCTTCTACCCAGTTATCCACTGAAAATCCGGTAAAGCCATTCCTAACTATGCCATTCAGTTCAACAAATAACGACTGAATGTATTCTTGAGTTCTGGCGCCGCGTTACGTGCTCTGGAGTGGCGGAATAAAGCCGGTCTCTTAACTTCCAGGGCATGTAGTTTTCAATTATTGCGACAAGGGTTAGGCTGTGTGTGGTCTTACAGGAGAAAGCACAAAGAGCTGTAAGAGACTGAAGAGTGTAGTGATGAAGAACATCAGTTTTTGGCCGGGTGCCTTGGCTCACGCCTGTAATCCCAGCACTTTGGTAGGTCGAGTCAGGTGGATCACCAGAGGTCAGGAGTTCGAGACCAGCCCCTGGCCAATATGGGGAAACCCTATCTCTACTAAAAATACAAAAATTAGCCGGGCATGGTGGCATGAGCCTTGTAGTCCCAGCTACTCGGAGGCTGAGACAGGAGAATCGCTTGAAGCTGGGAGGTGGAGGTTGCAGTGAGCCAAGATCGCACCACTGTACTCCAGACTGGGTGACAGAGTGAGACTCCGTATCAAAAAAGAAAAAAAAAAGAAAGACAGAGGACCACTTTGGAGTCAGGCGACTTGGGCTCATTCCACCTCCATCATGTAATTCCAGCTCCATCATTTACTAGCCATGTAACCTTAGGCAAGAAACCCAGGCCTTGTTTTCTTCATTTGTAAAATAAGAATAATATCTATCTCACAGGACTATCAAGATTAAATGAGTTAAGCCCACACATAGTGGCTCACGCCTGTAATCCCAGCATTTTGGAAAGCAGAGGTAGGCAGATCGCTTGAGCCCAGGAGTTAGAGACCAGCCTGGGCAACATGGCAAAACCCTGTCTGTACAAAAAAAAATACAAAAATTAGCCAGGCGTGGTGGCATGTGCCTGTGGTCCTAGCTACTTGGGAGGCTGAGGTGGGAGGATTGCTTGAGCCTGGAAGTTTGAGGCTGCAATGAGCCATGATCGTGCCACTGCACTCCACTCCATCCAGCCTGGGCGACAGAGCAACCCTGTCTCAAAAAAAAAAAAAAAAAAAAGATTGACTGAGTTAATATGACAGTGTGGCAATATGTGTAATCCACCTGTTATGCATTAAGTGCTCAATAGGAGTGCCCTTCCTAAGTTGGACACTTTCAAAAGGGGAACTCCAGCCAGACTGAAATACTGCAGTGGTGTGGGAGAAGTGTGTAGCCCCCACACCAAGAGGACAGTGTAAATGCTGAAGCATAAGTACAGGATCTGGTCTCTACCGAGTACCATTATCTTATGACTCAGGTTAATAAGCACCTCATTAGCTTTGTGTTTACAAGGTAATATATTTTGGGAGATACTATGTAGTGGTACAGTACAGATTCTGCAGACAAGCTGCCTGGGCTTGAATTCTACATGTTACCTGTGTGACCTTGAAGTCACTTAACCTTTTTAGGCCTTACTTTACTCATTTGTAAAATAGGCTAATATTTCCCTGAATGGGCTGGGAAGATTAAATGAAATAATCTTTGTAAAGTCTTAGCACATCCTGGCATGTGGTGAGCACACCATAAACTTAGGTATCAGAATTGACACCATTCCTCCTTGACTTCTCTATATGCTCTTTCTGTAGCCAGATAGGGAGCTCCCCAAAGACCAGGCCACCTCCTTCCTCTGTCTCTGGCTCAGGAAAGAGAATTCTTTTTTCTTTCTTTTTAATTTTTTATTTTTTCTAGAGGCAGGGTTTCACTACGTTGCCCACACTGGTCTGGAACTCCTGGGCTCAAGTGATTCTTCTACCTTGGCCTTCCAAAGTGCTGGGATTACAAATGTGAACCACTGTGCCTGGCCGCTTTATTCTTTTTATGAGAGAGGGTCTTGCTATACTGCCCAGGCTGGACTCAAGCAATCCCGCCTCAGCCTCCCATGTAGCTGGGACTACAGGTGTGTGCCACTGCACCCAACTAGCAGAGAATTCTTAACAAGCAGTCAGGATGGAACTGATGGCTGTTTGGGCACTTTCTACTTTCTTCTTAAAAGGATGATATCACCTCTTCTTCTCTGGTGAGAGTCTGAGGATAGAGACTTTTTTCTCACCATGAATGTCACCCCAGAGGTCAAGAGTCGTGGGATGAAGTTTGCTGAGGAGCAGCTGCTAAAGCATGGATGGACTCAAGGTGATCCCCATGGGGCCTCTTCCACATCCCCCAGCTCCCTGCCTACCATCTGCCCAGGGGAAAGCCATCATCCTGGATTACCCCCCCATGTAGTCCATTTAATTAAAGGAGGAAAAGCTAGTTTAAAGGGAAATTTGCAGAAGAAAATTTCTAACTTTCCCAGAAAAGGGAAGAAAGGAAGAAATTTGACAGTGGATAATGAAGAAGTGGTGGTTGGGAGGACTAGGGGAGGGAAAAAGAGATATGGGCTCTCTACCAAAAGAATTTGAAGGAAGAGATAGTTCAGGCTCACACAAAGGCAGGGGACTATATGGAGTGGTACTAGAAAGAAGTGCGCTAGGAGGTCTTCTGAGAGGTACAGAGTATACCCCAATGTCAGGTGTGTGGAATGGCAAGAGGCCTGTGTGGGGGGTGCCTTGTGAGGTCTCACAGCAGGCAGGAGAATAAGCCAAATCGCTCACTGTCCTCTGCAGGCAAAGGCCTCGGCCGGAAGGAGAATGGTATCACTCAGGCTCTCAGGGTGACACTGAAGCAAGACACTCATGGGGTAAGACTGGGTGGACTGAGGAAGGTTAGCATGTGTGGGAGAGGGGACCCTTGAGGGCAGGTGAGGCAGGCACTCAGAGCTCATATTTATTCCCCTGGCAGGTAGGACATGACCCTGCCAAGGAGTTCACAAACCACTGGTGGAATGAGCTCTTCAACAAGACTGCGGCCAACTTGGTAGTGGAAACTGGGCAGGTATGAGCTCTTGATAGATGGGCACATGAAACAGAGGGCCTGGGACCTGTGGCGTAGGCAGTCATGATATGTCACCCATTCACTGGTACTGATAATTCTCTACAGGATGGAGTACAGATAAGGAGCCTTTCTAAGGAGACCACCCGTTATAATCATCCCAAGCCCAACTTGCTGTATCAGAAGTTTGTGAAGGTATTAGAGGCTGTGGGTAACAGAGTCCATCCTTTTTCTCTTCCCTGGTTTCCCTGGGGCCTGAACAGTTGCCTTGTATGCCTTATCAATTCTCAGAACTTTCCTAACATAGTGGGATCCTGTGACCAGCCTTGCTGTTGCTTACTTAGACTGCCCAGACCCTCAGCAGGAATTGAGATCTTCAGGTTCCGTGGATCCTGCCATCTGTTAAGGGAGCAGCAATAGGGCGTGGGAGGTAG
This sequence comes from Homo sapiens, assembly GCF_000001405.40. Classification (NCBI taxonomy): domain Eukaryota; kingdom Metazoa; phylum Chordata; class Mammalia; order Primates; family Hominidae; genus Homo; species Homo sapiens. The sequence continues at coordinate 156,354 of NW_025791758.1, read as the reverse complement.
GGTACAGTCTCTTAAGTCAGGAGCTGCCAAATTTTGGGGGGGCCAGGGGACATCTAATTCAAAGGACTTAGAAGCCAGAGGAGACCTGAGAGATTATCTGGACCATCCCTGCTTTGCAGATGTGGCTAAAAGGGTGAAAAGTGGTTTGCTGAAGAGCCCACAGCTGGCTAGTAATGGCAAACAGGACTGGAACCCAGGACTTCAGGCCTCCACTTTCTACTGTACCAATAGGAGGAAGCTAACATGTAATGGTCATTATGTGCTAAGGGCTATACATGTTACCTAGCAAATCTTTCCCATTTCTCTACATCTCTGTTACCATCTACTACCCCACTTCGGGCCATCATCATCTCTTGCCTAATTTCTTTCTCCAGCAGCCTCCTAAGAACACCTGTAGTCTCACTCCCCACCCCAACCTTTGTGGAGGATGGACTTCTCCACAAAGCATCCAGTGTTCTCTCTAAAACATAAATGTCATCATGTCACTGGGTCTTGTTTGACCTAGGATGACACAATCCAGATTTATCGGACTGGCTTATATGGCTCTGCATGCCTGTTCCTGCCATCTCCAGCCTCATCTCTTCACTTTTCTCCAGGACCACTACTTTAGCCTAACCATTAGCATAACAGATTCCAATCTGTTTCTTTTCTTTGAAGGTACGACAGTCTTCCATCTTCAGGTTATTGCACATGTTGCTCCCTCTGCTTGGGACATTCTTCTCCCTTTCCCCCTTTACCTTCTGAGTTTCTCTTATCCTCCAGAGCTCAGCTTATACATCAGTTACTTTTAGAAGCCATTCTCTGAAGTCTGAGTTGAGTACCCTTCCTCTATCACAGGCAACACTTCCATCATAATTGCCTATGTAGATTCCATCTGGGCTGGGCCCATCTCATTCTTATTCCACTCTGAATCCCCAACTCCTTGGCCCATAGTAGACTCTCAATTAATCTGATTAAATGAAGGTACTGTGAACAGGTACTATGGTCGGGGTGGAGCGGGGCATCTTTACTGTCAGTCACTGGCACTTGTCCACTGTGAAGACCTGATGAACCAGAGCATTTCCTCTTCTTGTTCTGCTCACCAGCCAGCTGTGGGTGAGAGAGGCCAAAGCTGCTGCACATCCCAGCAGCAGCAGCCCATCTCCTATCCAAGTTCGAGTATGCAGGATGGCACACCTCCCTGTGGCTCCTCAAGGAGCAATGGTGGGGGCTGGCAAACCACTGCCTGGAGCTATAAATTCTTAGGGGGCTTCCACAAGGGAATAGGGATGGTGATGGTGTTGAGAAGGCCTTATCTACCCCCATGACCCCTCCTAGATGGCTACATTGACTTCAGGTGGAGAGAAGCCAAACAAAGACTTGGAGAGCTGCAGTGATGACGACAACCAGGGGTCCAAGTCCCCAAAGATGTGAGACTTCATTTTAGCTCTTGGGGAATGTGGGAAGAGATGTCTTCAGATGGCAAGAGAAAGGGCTAAATCTAATGCTTGACTGGGGGCTTCTTGGGGGTGGGTGGAACTGTGTTGTACTAATCTTTGTATCCCTAGTACCTCAAAAAGTGCCAGGTCCTGAACAAGAATTCAGTGTTGAAGGAATGTTTTAGAAGGAGGAGAGGTCAAGCCTTTCCACCAGGTCTGTTTGTAACTGCTGATCTCCCCTAACAGTCTGACTGATGAGATGCTGCTCCAAGCCTGTGAGGGGCGAACAGCACACAAGTAAGTAGTGGTCAGCTCCTTGAGCTCCCTTTTCTCCCCACCTTTGACCATGGCCTGTGCCACCTCTTGGTTCTTTTTACCCCAGGGAAATGATTCCTATTACCTACCCATCTATTGCCTGAAGATAGGCAGCTCCCCACTCCTACCCTCCACCAACTTTCCCTGCAGGCTTAAGGACTAGGCCCATTTCCCCCGATACCCTCGCTTTGACTTGGACCCTGTCTGTTTCAGGGCTGCCCGTCTTGGGATCACAATGAAGGCCAAGCTTGCTCGCCTAGAGGCCCAGGAGCAGGCCTTCCTGGCTCGTCTCAAAGGCCAGGACCCTGGGGCCCCTCAACTGCAGTCAGAGAGCAAGCCCCCCAAAAAAAAGAAAAAGAAAAGGAGGCAGAAAGAGGAGGAAGAAGCTACAGCATCTGAAAGGAATGATGCAGATGAGAAGCACCCAGAACATGCTGAGCAGAACATCAGAAAAAGCAAGAAGAAGAAAAGGCGACATCAAGAAGGAAAGGTCTCAGATGAAAGAGAGGGTACAACTAAAGGGAATGAGAAGGAGGACGCTGCAGGAACAAGTGGGCTTGGGGAATTGAATAGCAGAGAGCAAACCAATCAGTCCCTCAGGAAAGGGAAGAAAAAGAAGAGGTGGCACCATGAAGAGGAGAAGATGGGGGTCTTGGAGGAAGGAGGAAAAGGCAAGGAGGCTGCAGGCAGTGTCAGGACAGAGGAGGTAGAGAGCAGGGCATATGCTGACCCATGCAGCCGAAGAAAGAAGAGGCAGCAACAGGAGGAGGAGGACTTGAACCTAGAAGATAGAGGTGAGGAAACTGTTTTAGGTGGTGGAACCAGGGAAGCAGAGAGCAGAGCATGCAGTGATGGAAGAAGCAGGAAAAGCAAGAAGAAAAGACAGCAGCATCAAGAGGAGGAGGACATCTTGGATGTAAGGGATGAGAAGGATGGCGGGGCTAGGGAAGCAGAGAGCAGAGCACACACTGGCTCAAGCAGCAGAGGTAAGAGGAAGAGGCAGCAGCATCCCAAGAAGGAAAGAGCTGGAGTCAGCACTGTCCAGAAAGCCAAAAAGAAACAGAAGAAGAGAGACTAAAGGTCTGGTAAAGGTAGGGCTCAATTGATTGATTTTCAGGAGTTGAAGCCTCAAAGACCAGGGTTGATGCAGGTCTGCAGGTCTTCTGCACCCCCCTCAATGAGGAGTCCCTCCCAGAAAGGAAACTGATCTCTGGGACGTCAGCTGCTGAGAGGAGCAAGCGGTAGTACCACCCCTTAGTTGAGGGAGTCAGCACAGTCCTTTCTGCAGCTTCTAACCCAGGACCATGAACTCAGGTGCCTAGAGAAGCCAGGCAGCTAAAGGACAAGGAATGCTGGGGGCTGTGGGAACAGGAATGCAGATACCCTTTGAAGGAGCATTCCTGCTAAAAGAAGCTGAAAATGTAGACCTATGTGAAGTGCTCTGATTTCTAAATATTGTGAAGGTTAAGAAAAACATAAATTTAGGTCTATGGGCTAGATTTAGCCCACAGTTGCCAGTTTCTAGCGCTACCAAATGAATGAATAAACATGAGCTTGCGCTCCTAGCCTAGAGATAAATCCTGACTGGCATCTCTGTTCCCAGCCTGGGAAGGTCCTGAATACAAATTAGAAGATATTCCTTGGAGGCCTTTGAAGAAATTCCTTCGGTTAACCTCTTTGTAGTCTTGCTACACTGATAAGTAGAAGTAGCTCCCTGTCTGTGTCCCAAATGAATAAGAATTGTGTAAAGGACAGCACAACTCACTTGGCATCTAACAGTCCATTTTCATTGTTTCCAAATACCATAGCAACCTCTTGCCCTTTGTGTTACCCCTAGAGAGATGGCACCCAATCCCCAGGGTTGGTCTCTGACTTCCACCATTCACTGACTTTTATTGCCAGAGGAGCTCCCAGGAATCCACAGTTCTGGAAGAGAGGGGCTCTAAGTCTTTATTGGGAAGAATACCCACCCACCTTCCCTCACTGCAGACGATAGACACACTCGGTGTCAGGGTAGGGTGGCAGGTTCAGCTGGTACTTCTTCTCCAGAGCAGGTGGCACAAAACGACCCCCCAGGTAATGGTAGCGACCGGTAAACTGGGTTGCAGATTTTTTGGGGGCTGTGAGGGATATGAGCAAGTCTGGCTGGATCCCTCCAGCATTTCCCTTCTCCACGTCCCATCCTGAAAAGAGGGTGGTGTTCAGGAAGAGGCCAGATGTCTCGTCCCCTTCTACACCTTAGTTTACCCTAGTCCCAGAGGAGTGGGAAGTCCCCTCAGTTCCCACCTGAGGAACTCTCGTCCAACGAGCTCCACGTACCCTTGGGCCGTGGTCTCTTCATGGGGCCAACATGTAAAGGGGACTTCTGAACACTGTTCCCCAGCCCTGATGGGGGTCCAGAAAGCTGTGTTCTGCCCCTCTAGACTAAAATTATTTTAGACCTGGTGTGGGCAAGAGTCAGGAGGGTAGGGCCCCAATCTCCCCCACCCCACCTTCTGGATCCCAGCACCTGAGGGAATGTCGATGCTGGCAATGGGCACAGTGAGTCCCTTCAGGACACTCAGGATGCTGTGGAACGGTTCCCGAACATCGCCCTTGAAGCTGAAGCCAAAGATGGCATCCACCACCAGCTCATACAGTTCATCAATCGTCATGGGCTGTGGTGGAGCAGGAAAAGGATGTCAGAGCCAGCAGCTGCACAAACAGCCTTAACTGGAGAGGGCTGTCCTCTGCACCTGCAGACCATTCTCAGAGGCACAAGTATTGTGTCTCATTCAGAGGGCAGCCTGAGGCCTAGAGAAAGTGTGAGTTGGTCACTGATTCAGGCCAAATTGAGACCAGACAGTTTTTGTTCTCGGTGCCTGCCTGCCTGCCCACCACTGGGGAGGCTACAGGCTGAGATAGCCTGAGACGAGTCAGGAGAGCCAGATTCTGGTTTCAGCTCTGCCATGATACAATTTAGTGACTTTAAGCAAACCACTTCTCTGCACCTCAGTATCTTCATCTGTAAAATGGGTTAAGGAAAAAAATTACCCAATTTCCCATCCCTTAATCCATGCATCTGCAGGAAGGGTTTCAGATAGGGCAGCCACTCCGGCCCCTGAGGGGTAGATCATGTGTTTACTGCATGCTAGGGCAAGAGGATCTGACTACAGAGTGGAAGGAGGGACCAGGGAGATGAAAGGGCAAGGAAGCTTTAGAGAAGGTGGTGTGTGGGACTCATGGAGCACACTTTATGAAGGAGGAGAAGGCTCTTGCACACTTATTCGAATACCATCCGTTAGGCACCTTCCGTACCAGGCACTAAAATGAGCTCAGCCTGGAAACACGAAGGAAGAGCAGAGCACAGGCAGTGGTTACTGTAGGATGGAGGTATTCAACTGGAGCCACCTACCTCTGCGGGCATTTCCCCAAGGAAAGGGATGTCCATTTTCTGACACTGGGTCACCAATGCAGTGAAGAGGGGCTTGTTAGGCCTTTTGGGGTAATAGATGGTTGGCTCGTAGCCCTAGGAAGAAAGTGGTAATTCAACCCCAGATCCCAGAGCCCTCACGCCCTCCTCCCCCACAGCCCCTCCCCACATACTCACAAAGAGTTTGAGGTGTCGAGCACAGACCAGACCATCTCCTCCATTATTCCCCGGGCCACAGATGACCAGGACAGTAGGGGGGCTCCTGGACATGGACGTGGGGGGATATGCCTGAAGGCAGAGTCAAGGGTGGTTCGGCGGGGTTTCAGGCGGTAATAGACCATATTGGCCCAGCTGTCTCTCCCACCCCTTTGTGCCTAGGCCAGGGGGCTGGGACAGTGACTCCTCCCTGGCTGCTCCCAAAGGTCGAGAGTTGTGCCACTGACCTTGGCGATGGCTGTAGCACAGCTCAGCCCGGCCAGTTCCATAAGTTGGTCCACGCTGAACTGGTATTCGTTAAATAGCTCCTGGTCCACGGCCTGGGCCTCCTCCTGGCTGAGGAAAACCCGCGGCCTGAGTCCCGCCCCTCGTGTTCTCTGTCGCGCAGGTGGCCCGGCCGTCCCAGGCCCCGCCCCGGGGCAGAGCAGGCCACCCGAGACCCGTGCCTACCTCAGGTACTTCACCACCGTGCTCGCCATGACCTCTGAGTCCCAGCGGCCACCCGAGTTCAGCCGCTGCGGTCCCCACCAGGTGGGTCCCGAGCGACAGGCGATGGTCTGGCTTTTGATCCGCGGCACGCGCGAGCCCGCAACCAGCAGCCCGAGGCCCAGCAGCGCCCGCAGCCTGGACATCCAGCTCGCAGAGCGCGCGCCCCCGGCCCGGCCCGGCCCCGGCGCATGTGCGGCGCTCGCCCCGCCCCCGAAGAGGCCGGGCCAGCACGCGCGGATTCCGGAAGCCGCTCGGGGCTGGAGTCTTGGGGTTCTAGCAGCCCTTGGGCTGGGGAGCAGTTCCCACCCGGTCCAGCTTCCCTTCCACTTGGGATTCCAGCTCTCCTCAGGAGCGTTTACAGATCGCCACACATTTCCAGATACGCCGAAATGCCTTGCTCCCAACGGCCCTTTGATAATAAGTGCTGATTTTGTAACTCTTTCAGAAAGGTGTATGGATGGCATAGCAGTTAGCCTTGATTCCTGCCCCACTGCTTAGTGGCTGAGTGAATGTGGGAACTGCTGGTGTCAGTTTTTCGCCTATACAACAGGGAAACGAGTACATACTTCCATAGGTGCTAATGCCTGCAAACCGTCGCAGAGGGCGTGGTATAGAAATTAAGCTACTGTTCTTATTTACACCACCAAGCCTATGTAACTTAGGCCCCCTCTACACTACATTAGCTTCCCCTACCTCTGTTTTACCAGGGTATCATGCTGTACTTCCCGAGTCATGCTTAACCCCTTTACTGAGATAATAGCTATGGAAATATAAAATTATCCTTAAATAGTTTGGGTAAGCTATGGTTTAAAACGTAATTGAAACCATAGGCTCCAGGTCACGATGATGTTTCACTAGAAGTCTTGAGAGGAGGAGTAGAGTTTAGGCTAGTGGTTTTGAGAATGCAAACACACTCTCTTGCGTGGTTAGGGGAAAAGGTTGGAGAGTAACAAACCAGTTACCATCAAGGCACTAAGATAAAGATAATTATCCAGACTGCTATGGATTCAATGTTTGTGTTCCCTTCCCTTCCTCCCTCACAAATTCATATGTTGAAGCCCTAACCCCCAGTGTAATGGTATTCGGAGACAGGGTGGTTGGGATTAGCATTAGTTGGGATATAAGAGGTAGTCCCTGAACTGGTAGAATTAGTGCCCTTATAAGACTTTCTTCCTCTCACTGCCCCTCCTCTCTGTCACCATACTGGAACCCTAATCTGACTTCCAGTCCCCATAACTGTCAGGAAATTAATTTGTTGCTTGAGCATCCAATCTATGATATTTTATTATGATAGCCCAAGCTAAGACACAGGTAAAGGGAAGGTTTTTTTTTGTTTTTTAGACAGGGTCTCGCTCTGTCACTCAGGCTGCAGTGCAGCCGCCTGATCATGGCTCACTGCAGCCTGGACCTCTGGGATCAAGTGATCCTCCAGCCTCAGCCTCCCCAGTAACTGGGACTACAGGCACGTGCCACCACACCCGACTAATTTTCATATTTTTTGTAGAAGCGAGGTCTTGGCAGGGCACAGTGGCTCACGCCTGTAATCCCAGCAGTTTGGGAGGCCAAGGTGAGTGGATCATTTGAGGTCAGGAGTTCAAGACCAGCCTGGCCAACATGGTGAAACACCACCTCTACTAAAAATACAAAAATTAGGGCTGGATGCACTGGCTCACACCTGTAATCCCAACACTTTGGGAGGCCAAGGCAGGTGGATCACCTGATGTCAGGAGTTCGAGACCAGCCTGGCCAACATGGTGAAACACCACCTCTACTAAAAATACAAAAATTAGGGCTGGATGCACTGGCTCACACCTGTAATCCCAACACTTTGGGAGGCCAAGGCAGGTGGATCACCTGATGTCAGGAGTTCGAGACCAGCCTGGCCAACATGGTGAAACCCCATCTCTACTAAAAATACAAAAAAAATTAGCAGGGCGTGGGTGGCGAGCGCCTGTAACCCCAGCTACTCAGGAGGCTGAGGCAGGAGAATCGCTTGAATCTGGGAAGAGGAGGTTGCAGTGTGCCAAGATCATGCCACTGCACTCCAGTCTGGGCGACAGAGCCAGACTCCATCCCCCCCCCCCAAAAAAAAAAGAAAAGAAAAAGAAAAACGGTAAGTATAAGAAGAGTGCTCTAACCTCCCCTTTTCTTCCTGAAAGCAGGAAACAAAACTCCCATGTGAACAATGAATGCCTTCCTCCAGGAGGAAAGAAACATTCTTATCACCAGAGACAGGGAGTCGAAGCTGAGAGAATTCTGTACAAACAGACCTTGTTAAAATATCTCTTATCTTCCTTTAGCCTCCCCATATATTTTATTTTTATTATTTTTTTGGAGATAGAGTCTCACTCGGTCACCCAGGCTGCAGTGCAGTGGCATGATCTCGGCTCACTGCAACCTCTGACTCCTGGGTTCGAGCGATTCTCCTGCCTCAGCTTCCCTAGTAGCTGGGACTACAGGCATACACCACCACACCTGGCTAATTTTTGTAGTTTTTGTAGAGATGGGGTCTCACCATGTTGCCCAGGTTGGTCTCAAACTCCTGGGCTCAACTGATCCACCCACCTTGGCCTCCCAAAGTGCTGGGATTACAGGTGTGAGCCCCTGCGACTGGCCTCCCCATATATTTTAGCTGCTTTTCCACAATTGGCTCTTTGTTCGACCTAGTACAAAACATTTAGGTTTTCCTTCTTTGGGTCTTCATTGCTTTATGAGGGCTCCTGTGTCACATAAAATTTATATTAAGTAAATCTGTATGCTTTTCTCTTGTTAATCTGTTTTATGTCAATTTAATTCTCTGTCCCAGCTAGAGACCCTAAGAGAGTGGAGGTAAAGTTTTGCCTTCCCTACTTTCTCTTATCTGACATGATCAGGAGTGGATTATTTTATTTCAACTTTAAAAAATACATTAATTTTCCATCTGTCAAAGTGTGGCCAGGGTCTTTTCTTTGAGGATGGAGCCTGTGATTAGATTCCTCATCTTCTTTCTTACATAAACCTCACCAGTTATGTATCACCCGCAATTTCCAGTTTGCTTCCTTAAAGTGAAACAGTTAATGGCATGTTTGAAGCAATCTTGAGTGCAGAATTTATATTTTTATTATTATTCCCCCAATTTGTAATAATCTTGTTGCTCACATCTAATTGCATAGCAGCTTTTATCTTTTCTTTTGAGGCAGAGTCTCACTCTGTTGCCTAGGCTGGAGTGCAGTGGCATGATCTTGGCTCACTGCAACCTCCACCTTCCAGTTTCAAGTGAATTATCCTGCCTCAGGCTCCCAAGTAGCTGAGATTACAGGCATGCACCACCATGCCCCACTGATTTTTTGTATTTTTAGTACAGACAGGGTTTCGCCATGTTGGCCAGGCCGGTCTCAAACTCCTGGCCTCAAGTGATCCATCCACCTTGGCCTCCCAAAGTGCTGGGATTACAGGCATAAGCTACTGTGCCCAGCCCACGGTAGCTTTTTAAAGTAACTCACAGAGGCCAGCCGCAGTGGCTCACACCTGTAACCCTAACACTTTGGAAGACCGAGGCAGGCGGATCACCTGAGGCCAGGAGTTTGAGACCAGCCTGGCCAACATGGCGAAACCCTATCTCTACTGAAAATACAAAAATTAGCCGGGCTTGGTGGCTTGCACCTGTAATCCCAGCTACTCGGGAGGCTGAGGTAGGAGAACCACTTGAACCCGGAAGGTGGAGGTTGCAGTGAGCCGAGATCACGCCATTGCACTCCAGCCTGGGAGACAGAGCGAGACTCCCTCTCAATAAATAAATAAACAAACAAACAAAAAAATAAAGTGACTCACAGGCTGGGTGCAGTGACTCACATCTGTAATCCTAACACTTTGGGACACCAAGGCGGGAAGATGGCTTGAGCCCAGGAGTTTGAGACCAGTCTGGGCAACATAGTGAGACCCTGTCTCTCTCTCTATATATTTTTTTTAATTAGCCTGGCATGGTGGTGCACCTGTACTCCTAGTGGGAGGCTGAGGTGGGAAGATCGCTTGAGCCCAGGGGGTTGAGGCTGCAGTAAGATGTGATCGTGCCACTGCACTCCAGCCTGAGCAACAGAGCAAGACCCTGTCTCAATAAATAAATAAACTCACTCTTTCCTCCATCACTGGAAGATAAAGCATAAGAATAATAAAGAAAAAGTAACTTACCTTAGTCGAGTCTTCTAAGGATCCAACTTAGTTTTTATAGAAACAGTGCTGCTTTTCCCACTCTCAGTTCATCAATTTATTTTTTTTTAAAGATAAATTTTCTTTTACATTGACATGGGGTCTCACTATGTTGCCCAGGGTGGTCTCAAACTCCTGGGCTCAAGCAATCCTCCCACCTTGGCCTCGCAAAGTGCTAGGATTACAAGGGTGAGCCATCTCACCTGGCCTGTTCATCAATGTGTATAGTATTTAATTACATTATGAATTACAATAACACATACAACGGGCATAGACACACTTGATATTAAATCACAATGGACTCTGGGTAAGCAAGGGCTTAGCTGGGGAAGTGGAACTGCACAGCATTCTAGAAAGTGCTCACTGCCTGGGTTTGATTCCCAGCTTCTCTACATACTAGTTATGTGACCTGGGAATTCAGATTACTGAAGCTTTGTGCCTTATTTTCCTCATTTGCGAAAGGGGATAATAGCACCTCATATATTTGTTGTGAGGATTAGAGGAGAATACACTTGTGAAGCACCTAGAATAGGGTGGGGCATGAGCTAAGCACCTAGAATAGGGTGGGGCATGAGCTAAGCACCTAGAATAGGGTGGGGCCTGAGCTAAGCACCTAGAATAGGGTGGGGCCTGAGCTAAGCACCTAGAATAGGGTGGGGCATGAGCTAAGTACTTGGGAAATGTTACATCACATCACTGTTCCTGTGGCTGCTGGCAGGAGCTGTCCTACAGGCTACAGGCCACAGCCTAGGCCTGCGCCCAGCATCCCCTGTGTTTCACAGAGAAGTAAGGTGCATTGGTTGGGTAAGATGCCTCTTCTGTAGTATTATATCCTCATTTCTCATGTGCAAAAATGGACGTCTGGAGACAGTCAGTGACTCCAAAGCTACTTGACCACGAAGTCAGTTTTTAGAACTGCCAGGCCCCTAGCAATCGTAAGATTTGGATTCAGAAAGACAGGGAATTTGCCATCCATTTTCCTTTTTTCTTTTACCTACTGAGTCCAAAAATCCCAAGGAGGAACAAACAGAACCTCTCAGGGCCGAGCCTGCAAAGCCCTTGGCCAGCCTCCTCAGGAGTCCACTGGCTGCACTGTGTTCCACATCCCTGCAGGGCTGAGCAACTGGGAAGAGGCTTGGTCCCCAGGACCCCCTAGTGTGTGCGTGTTGGACAGGTGCTTCAGGGATGAGGGCTGAGGCTGGCAGGGGGAGGTCACACAATAGTGCAGATGCCCGACTCCATGGGTCTCCTCTGGCGGCTCCTGCTGAGGCTTTCCCTGGGCCACCTGGATGACCTGAAAGAGGCAGGGAGGGGCTTGCCAGTGGGGGTGACTGGGGAGACAGCAGGAGGCAGCCTGCCTTGGCCTCAGCTTCCCTCTGCCCTATTTGGCCCTTACCTCTGCTGGTGGGCTCCAGAGAAGGAGGGAGTTGGCTTAAGCTTCATATCCCCCCATCCTGCAGCACCCTGTCTTTCACTGAGGCCTACCATCAGGCCATTTAGGAAGCAGGGCATACCCTGGGCTTCCAGAGCCGGGTGAGGGTTGTTCACATTGCTAAAGGGCAAAGACAAAGTGGGGCTCGGGGCCCTATATCCCAAGCATGAGATCCCAGCTTCCCCCAACTTCAACAGCAGTCGTGTTTCATTAAAATCATCCCAAGCCACACATTCTACTTTTTTTGCTATTCTCCAGGCCTCCTTCTTTCCCCCAAGGACCCACCTATTGGCTTGAGGGCCATTGGGTACCAAGATGCTAGGGTACTCCGCTCTGGGAGGGCCTGGACCTACAAATGGAAGATGGGCCCTGGGTCCTGGACCTAGATGGAGAAGGACAGACACATTCATCACGTGCCTCTCTGCACCAAGAACTATCATGGTGGAAAAAAGCTCTGAGAGAAGAACCACGAGTTGGGGCGGTGTCAGGGGATGCACTGCTCACTATAGATGGAGGCTTTGCCGAGGACTGTCCCTCTGCAGGGCGTGTGCTTGGTAAACGTGGGGCAACTAGAAGCTAGATGGTGCGAATGATTCACTGTGCCTGGAAGGAAACACACTGAAAAGGAGACATCGGTAAATTCAGGTCAGCTCAACAAGTAGCAAAGAACTCTGCTCCCTGAGTTGCAAGTCTTTGTGGGAGATGCTATTGAGTAGTGAGCTGGGGTTTACCAACAGCACCCAGCGCTGTGTTGGGCACAGAGTAGGCTTTCAGCAAAACCCTGGGGTCCAAGATGCAAAGTTCTAGAAGTTAGGAAAGCCATGAGAGCAGGAAGGAAGAGGGAGTTCTAGAAGGGTTCAGGGAAAATGGTCCAGGGCCTTGAGAGACAAGCAGAAATCATGGGAGGGCTGTTGGGGACTTGCGAACTGGGACAGCCAGGGTCAGGGGTGGCGCGAGGTTGTGCCAGGCCTCAAAGAAATGACAACAGGAAGGCGGGATGGTGGGATGGGCATAAGAAGCGGAGGCAGGCGGGTGGGGGTGGGAGTGCCATATTTGCAGTAAGGAGAGGCACCGCCAGGAATACTCTACATCAACTCACGCTCTGGTCTTCCCGGCCCAGCCCTCACCGGAACGTTTGCCGACCTCTCCTCTTTTTTCTTCTGGTGGCCCTCCTCAAACTCTTCATCTTCCCACCCACTGGAAGATCTGTAGGGGCAAGGAACCAGGGCACAGCTTGGCAGAGCGACACCAGTCCCCTCCTTCCTGGGGATACACATGGGGTCCTACCCCACTGCGACAGCCCCCAACACCCTGCAGAGGGCGCATGCATCTCTGCTGCACCATTCCCACCCTCACCTGTGCTGGACACCTGCTGTGCTGCTTCCTGCCTTTGCTGGGGTCCCCTCCGCCTGGCTGGCCCCACCTGGAGCCTGGAGTCTTCCCGGAGCCGAAGTCTGGGAATGAAGTGGAGTAAAGGGAATAGGTCTGAGAAAAACGGCCATCCCAGCTACGTGTGTGCTCCCTCCAGAGACTTATGTGATAGAGACAATTCGGGCTCTGCCGCTTGTCTCGGAGAATACAATTCTGGGGTGAGGCTCTTTGTTCTATTAAGGTCCCTGCTAGTAACTCTCAGGCTTGAATTCAGATTTAGGGACTAGCAGACCTGGCCAGCGCCTGATGACCACCCCATCCCTTCTGGGGCCTGATACCGTAAAGTCACAGAAAATAGGTGGCAGACATTGGCTGGGACCCAGGTATTCTGACCCCTCAATCCAATCCTCTGCCTGTACCAGGCTAATTTAATTTTGCTTGCAGATTTAAAATATGGTGTCTTTAAATATGGTCTTTAAAATGCAAGGGCATAAAACCTATTAAATACATATAAATATTAAAGTATCATTTCAATTCCTGGAGCGGGAAGAGGTTTTCTGGGGTTGTCTGAAAATGTGAAGGAGGAGGCGGTTGGAGAGCCAACGAATCGTACAGAGAGACCCGGAGGTAGAAACAGGTTAAAGCAGAGACTTGGAAGGAGGAACACGGTGGAGACCCACAGAGAAATGACCTCCAGAGACTTAAAGACGGGAGAGAGGGACTTCCTTGGAGCACATCTCCATCCTGTGGCCATTTAGGGAACTGCAGTCAAGGACTTGAAACTTTCTACCTCCTTGCACACATGGCCTACCGATTCTTTTAAATTTATTTCTTTATTTTTAATCACCTACATATCAGCCCTTGTGTTGGAGACGTGCCACAGTCCCCCACCCACCTCCCACCCTTGGAAAGTGATATATCTCATGCGCAGGCTCAAGGCGGATGAACACAGATGAGCGGCCAAGCGCGCAGCATCCCAGGGAACAGCGTCTCTGCTTACCACCAACCCCTTCTCTGGGTAACCTCTCTCCACCCCCATCTCCTTGTCTCAGGTGTCATCTCACCAGGGTGTGAGTCTGGACCAGCCCCACCTGGGCCAAGCGCGTCCTCACGGTGTCTGCCAGCTTGGCCACCAGCCGTTCTCGCACAGAATCTGGCTCCTTCTGGGAAGAGGGTGGATAATAGGGTAATGGGGAATGCCTGGACCTTATGGTCCTCTGGGGGTTGGGGAAGAAGGAAACAGGAAAGGGAGGGGGGAGGGGGGCTTTGTTTCCCCTCTCTTCTACCCCATCCCCATGCCTTTCCCAGGGTCCTGCCACCACCTGCCCAGAATTGTGGACAGCGATGAACTCTTCCTCACAATAGTATCCCAAGACCTAGCACACAGTGTGTCCAGTGCATGTTTGCTGATTGAGTGAGTGATGGGGAGAAGACAAGGAGTGAAGGCAGGAATGTCAGCCAGAAGAGGGATAGCAGGGGAGAGGTGGATTCCGGTGTGCGGGGTCTCACCTGACACTGGGCCAGTGCTTCCTTATAGTACTTCAAGGCCTGGTCATACTGCCCCAGCCTGGCTGCAGCAGCCCCCAGACCCTCACAGGCCTGCCACTGTCCCTTCATGTCCCCTGAGAGAAAGAGAGCCTGGAAGGTCCTTTCATGACTTCCTACCCCACTGATCCACCCCCTCAGAGGCACTCCCTACCCTCAGTTCCCCCCATCTGCCTCCCCGCCAGCCCCTAGGACCCTCAGCCTCCCCACTGTCCCAGTCACATCCCAACCCTCTCACGCTTACCAGAGTCCCGGGCAGCCTGCAGGGCATGCAGGTAGTTGTCTCTGGCAGCCTTGTGGTCCCCCAGCTGGCTCAATGCAAAGGCCAGGCTGCCAAAGCTCCGGCCCTGCTCCCACCGCTGCCCCACAGAGCCTGAGGACAGAGCCCACCCCATCCTCAGAGGGGACTCTGGCTGCTGGGACATCAGGACCCCACCCTCCAGCAACCAAGACAGACCTCCCAGGAGGCCTGGTGCCCAGCCCCAGAACACTCCAGATGCATCCGAGAGGCCTGAACCCTCCACACCCAGCCTGGCCCCATCCTGAGTTCTGGTGTGAGTGCCTCCACCTGGCTAGTTTGAGTCAGGCAACAACCCTGTGATGCAGGCAAGGCAGGTGTTAATGGCCCCGTTTTTAAAAATGTGGAAACTGAAGCTCGGAGAGTGAAAGTGGTTCCTCAATGTCACACAAACAATCAGCAGAGGGGCTGGACTCCGCTTCAGGCCTCCTCTCGCAGCCAGTACCCTTCCCCCTGCCCACTGCTGCCTTCCCAACCCTGAGGCCTCGGCCTCTGGGCCCACAACCCTCTGTCCTGTCTGGCTGTCCCATCTCCTGCACTTCCAGCTCTCCCCCACTGGTTCTGGATTTTCAGGCTCCATAAGTGGTCCCAAAGGGCCATCCACCCTTAAGCCTTGGGCCCCTTTTGGAACCCCTTCTTAGTGTCTTAGTCCCAGTCCCATTCCCCGGCCCCAGGCACCCACCGTGTAGGTCAGCAGCCTTCTGGTGAAACTCCCGAGCTTCCTGATAGTTGCCGAGGGCATTGTGGGCCATCCCGAGGTTTCTTAGCACTGTGGCCTGCTCTCCTGGCACCCAGCACAGGGGCAGGGCCTGCAGGAAGGCCTCCACGGCCAGCGGGAACAGCTGGAGCTGGGAGTAGCCCAGGCCTAGATCGTTATAGAGGTGCCCTAGAGGGAATAGCCAGGGTCACTGGTAGCCAGACCAGATATAAATGAGGCTGGTACAGCCCCTATCGACTCCTCCAGGGTTCCCCAAACCCAGCCCTCTGAGTATCATCAGGCTCTGTGTCTCCCCAGATCCCATGCCTTCCCTGCCCGAAGGTCTCACCCAGCAGTCGCCTCTCAGTGCTCCTCTCGGCAAGCCTCCGGCTTTTCTCCAGCACCTGCACAACTTCCCCCACCCGATGCCGCCCACTCTTCAGCATACATCCTGCCGCAGCCCCCAGTGCCAGGGCTGCGGCCCGCAGCTGTCTCTCTTGAGCATAGGCCTGGCTTGCTTCCTGCAGGCAGTGGGCTGCTAGCTCAGGCTGTCCCAGAGCCTGGTAGCAGGCTCCCATTTTTGCCCAGGCTTCTCCCTGGTCACCCTGTGGCTGGTAGTGGCCCAGGGCCCTGTGGTACCAGGCCAAAGCTTGAGGCAGCTCGCCGAGGGCATGGTAGGCCAAAGCCACATTGAAACATTGGTCGCCGTGTCGCCTGCCCTGTGCCTTCTCTTCAGGGTGGGCTCGCAGGAGTAGCTCAAGGCCTCTGGCTGGGTCCCCAGTCTCCACATAGGCAGCCCCCAGGTTGAAGGCGCAGGCCTGGAGCACAGGGGTATCCCTGGTTTGTGGGGCCTTGGAGGCCAGAAGGAAGGCCCTCTGGAAGTTGTTCAAGGCTTCATGGTTCTGGCCAGCCTGAAGGGCCCCATGGCCAGCCCTGGTGAGGGCTTGGATGCTGGCTTCTTGCCGCAGCCACTTTCTTTTCTTCTTTTTCTTATTGGAGCTTGAGGGCTCAGGTTCTGGCCTCCGGGGCACATCCTCAGGGTTGGGGGAAGACATAGGGCTGACAAAGGGGAACAGAGGGCTCAGTATGTCAGCCTTGGCTTCCTCTAGATAGCAGGACCCCCTTAGGGCAATTCAGCTCTACCCCTGCCCTAGCATGACCCTCAGGGTTTCAAGGATTGCTCTCTGATCTCTCACTTTGTTTCTTCTGTCCCATTGGGCACCATATCCACTCTCACTCTAACTTCCTGACTAATTCTTAGTCCTCCTTCAAGACTCAAGTCAAGTAACAGCTTACTTCAGAACGCACCTTCTTCTCAACCAACTGGGTACTCCTGTGGTCCCATAGCACTTGATGCCTATGTCTTTTATAGCATTTATCACACTGGGTCAGAGCTGATGACTTTATTGTCTTCCCCCCACTACTAGATTTGGAGCAACTTGCAGGGTCTGGCACACAGTAGATTCTCAATAAATGTTTATGAAAGGAGATGAAAAAGTTCTGGAGATGGATAGTGGTGTTAATTGCACAATAATGTGAGTGTACTTAATGCCACTGAACTGCACATTTTAAAATGGTTAAAATGGTAAATTGTATGTTATGTATATGTTACCACCATACGAGTGTTTTTGGATTGAACAAATAGGCCAGGTGCGATGGCTCACACCAGTAATCCCAGCATTTTGGGAGGCTGAGGTGGGCAGATCACGAGGTCAAGAGATAGAGACCAGCCTGGCCAACATGGTAAAACCCCGTCTCTACTAAAAATACAAAAATTAGCCGGGCGTGGTGGCGGGCGCCTGTAATCCCAGCTACTCGGGAGGCTGAGGCAGGAGAATTGCTTGAACCCGGGAGGTGGAGGTTGCAGTGAGCTGAGATCGCGCCATTGCACTCCAGCCTGGGTGACAGAGAAACTCTGTCTCAAAAAAAGCTGCAAATAAATAGATGAAGGAACCGCATATGCAGGGCCTCTCCTCCATAACTTCCTTCACACTGTGCCTCCACAGACACCCCCCTCACTCATCATCTAGGTACTCCTGCTATCTAATCTCAAGACGTAGTTCAGGTCAGTTCAACAAGCACTCAGTGAGCCCCTGCTATGTGCTAGGAACCACACTAGGCACTGGGGACCCTAGGGTGAGGAGGCTCCTGAATTGGCAAGGAGCGAACCTCCAGGAGAGAAGGATTTTCTGAAAAGGAGTGTGGTGTGGGACAGAACATGCATTTACTGCCCCTTCCCTAGCTCAAGGGGAAGCTCTCTCTCCATTTCTTCCGCTTTCTGTCTGCTGGCTGGTTCTAGGCCCCCAGCCTCCTGCTCTGGTCTCCAGAGCCCTCTTAAACCTGAATACAAGCATCTCAGCAGCTTGTATATCCTGTTTGTATTTTTCCCCTTGAAGGGCAAAAGCTTTTTATGAACTCTCCTCCCAGGAGATGGGAAAAAGAGTGGAAAAGACCCAGGCCCTGGGCTCTTGACCCCTCCCATTTTATCCTTTTTTTCCCCTTTTTTAGGAGGGGCAGGCAGAGGAAAAGCAGTCTCTTTTAAAAGAAATTCCCCCTGCTTCTAAGAACACCCAGAAATCCTGCCTTTTCAAGGCCTTCCACTCCAGGGCATTCCTGACCACCCCCATCCAGTGTGGGGATCCCCACTGCAGGACACCTTACCTCCTTGGGTCTTCTCCGCAGCTGGCTCTCTGGAATGGCCCCTCTGGCTTGGGTTACCTCCCAAGCTGTTAGCTCAAAGCCCTAGAGGTTACTAGACAACCAGGTACCACCCTCCAGTCGTAGGGAATTATTTGAGTGACAGCTCTGAAGCCGTATCTTAGTGCTAAACCTCGGTAGTGCTGCAGACACACCCCCTCAAGTCCCTCACTTCAAGAAATGAATCAAGGCATCAGAGGGGCGCTTACTAGTTACACCCTCAGAAATCATCTACTTCATCCCCTCATTTCACAGAGGAAGGGACCAAGCCTCAGACAGCAGATGTGACTTAACTAAGGTCACAGAGCAGTCACGTAGCTGGGGTTAGACTCTATGTTTTTTTTTGAGATGGAGTCTCACTCTATCACCCAGGCTGGAGTGCAGTGGCGCCATCTCGGCTCACTGCAACCGCTGCCTCCCGGGCTCAAGTGATCAAGTGATTCTCCTGCCTCAGCCTCCTGAGGAGCTGGGATTACAGGTGCACGCCACCACAACCAGCTCATTTTTGTATTTTTAGTAGAGAAGGGGTTTCACCATGTTGGCCAGGCTGGTCTCGAACTCCTGACCTCAAGTGATCTGGCTGCCTTGGCCTCCCAAAGTGCTAGGATTACAGGTGTGAGCCACTGCACCCCGTCTTTTTTTTTTTTTTTTTTTTTTGAGACGGAATCTTGCTGTGTTGCCTAGGCTGGAGTGCAGTGGTGCAATCTCAGCTCACTGCAACCTCTGCCTCCTGGGTTCAAGCCGTTCTCCTGCCTCAGCCTCCTGAGTAGCTGGGATTACAGGTGCCTGCCATCACACCTGGCTAATTTTTGTATTTTTGTATAGACTGGGTTTCCCCATGTTGGCCAGGCTGGTCTTGAACTCCTGACCTCAGGTGATCTGCCTGCCTCTGCCTCCCAAAGTGCTAGGATTACAGGCATGAGCCACCACGCCCAGCCAACTCTAGGTTTTTTGATTCAAGGTGAGTAGCCTAGGGTCCCTTCCACTACACTGTGTGATTGCAAGTTGTTTTTTTTGTTTGTGTGTTTGTTTTTGAGACAGAATCTTGCTCTGTCATCTAGGCTGAAGTGCCTAGATGATCACAGCTCACTGCAGCCTCTACCTCCTGGGCTCAAGCGATCTTCCCACCTCAGCCTCCCAAGTAGCTGGGACCACAGGCATGTGCCACCACACCTGGCTAATAATAATAATAATAATAATTATTATTATTATTATTATTATTATTATTATTATTATAGAGATGGGGTTTTGATATGTTGCCCAGGATGGTCTCAAACTCCTGAGCTCAAATGATTCTCCTGCCTTGGCTTCCCGAAGTGTTGGGATTACAGACTGCACCCGGCATGACCTGTGATAGCAAGCTTTAATGGGGCTTGAGCTGTCCTGGAAGTGAACCCTTTCTCTCTCTCTCTCTCTCTCTCTCACACGCACACGCACGCGCACACACACACACACACACACACACTCTCTCTCTCTCTCTCTCTCTCTCTCTTACATACTGTGCTTCTGTGTGGTGGTTTCACATTTGGGAACAGGGTGAAAGATTGATAGTCAGGAAAGGCCTGGAGATCAGAAGAGACTCCCCCAAGACTCCTTTTTCCAACTCCACTGATCTGTGACCTACAGTTTCTGCTTAATGAGAGGACAGCAGGCCCCAGGACGAAGGGAATATAATGCCCCAACTCACCAAGGGTGGCCTGCATCAGAAAGAAAATGTCCTCATTGCCTAGGGAAAGGCCTCTTTTAAGTAAAGAGGCCTTTGCCAGAAACAAAAATTATGAAGTGACGGGGCTCACCTGCGTTTGGCCTGCAGCCTTTGCTAAATGCCTGCTATGTGCAGGCATAGTGCTGGGTGCTACAGATGGTGCTGTGGCAGAGTGAAAAAATGGCTTCTCCCTACCCTTCTAGATTCTTTGGCTGGGCTACAAATTAAATTGACATAAGACAGATTAGCAGGAGAAAAACCATTTTAATTACAGTCATGCTTCGCTTAGCAACAGGGATATGTTCTGAGAAATGCATCATTAGGTGATTTTGTCATTGTGCAAACATCATAGATGGTGTTTACTTACACAAACTTAGATGGTGTAGCCTACTACACACCCAGGCTCTCTGGTATAGCCTATTGCTTCTAGGCCACAAAGCTGGACAGCATGTTACTCTCCTGAATACTGTCACCAAATGTCATTCAATGGTATTTGTGTATCTAAACATATCTAAACAAAGTACCCTAAGTATATGGTATAAGAGATTTAAGTGGGGTGCGGTGGCTCACACCTGTAATCCCACAACTTTGGGAGACTGAGGTGGGTGGATCACTTGAGGCCAGGAGTTGGAAACCAGCCTGGCCAACATGGTGTAACCCTGTCTCTACTAAAAATTAGCTGCACGTGGTGGCGCGCACCTGTAATCCCAGCTACTCGGGAGGTTGAGGCAGGAGAATTGCTTGAACCCATGAGGCGGAGGTTGCAGGGAGCTGAGATCACACCACTGCACTCCAGCCTGGGTGACAAAGGGAGACCCTGTCTCAAAAAAAAAAAAAAAAAAAAAGGGAGATTTAAAATGGTACACCTGCATAGGGCAGTCACCATGAATGGAGCTTGCAGAACTGGAAGTTGCTCTGGGCAAGTTAGTGAGTGAGTGGTGAGTGAATGTGAAGGCCTAGGACATTACTGTTTTTTGTTTATGTTTTTGTTTTTTGAGACAGAGTCTCTGTCTGTCACTCAGGCTGGAGTGCAGTGGTGAAATCACAACTCACTGCAGCCTTGACCTCCCGGGCTCAAGTAATCCTCCCAACTTAGCCTCCTGACTAGCTGGGACTATAGGTGTGTGCCACCATGCCCAGCTAACTTAAAAATTTTTTTTTTGTAGAGACAGGATCTCGCTATGTTGCCCAGGCTGACCTTGAACTCCTGGGCTCAAGTAATCCTCCTGCATCAGCCTCCAAAGTGCTAGGATTACAGGCATGAGCCACCACATCCAGCCTAGGACATTACTATACATGTATATATGACTGGCAGCATGGTAGGTCTGTTTACACCAGCATCACCACAAACATGTGAGTGACGCGTTGTACTAAGGTGTTAGGGTGGCTACAACATCACTAGGTGATAGGAATATTTTAGGTCTATTATAATCTTATGGCATCACCATTGTATATGCGATTTGTTGTTGACCAAAACGTTGTTATGAGGCTCATGACATATGTGCATATACACAGGAGTCCCGTAACACATGAGACTCAAAGAAAAGTCAGACGATTGACGTTTATACAGCATCCCCAGCTACAGAAAGGAATAGGGGTTGGGGCATCTCGGGGGTGGTGCTGATCCAAGTTATTGGAGGGTGAGGGGAGCAAGTGCATGGTGAACAGAGGTTGTCCAGCTAGGACAAACAGAAGTTATCTCAGAGCAGCCCTCTTCCTGATACAGGTACTTTACTAATGTAGATTTCCTTTACAGATATAAATTTCTTTTACGAAAGGACAACTTTTCAGCGCTACTCCTGTGTCTGCAGTTTCTCAGAATAACCTGCTCAAAATATGCCAAAGAAGTATATTTTGAGGTGGCATATTCTAGTTTCCTACAGTCATATTTTGGGGTGGTGTGTCCTGAGTCCCATGCCCAAGGCAGGCTAACCCAGCTGTCTGCAGCTTCTGCAGACAGCTGGGCTTTTAAGGTGCTACCACAGCCTGGTCAGGGCCAAATATGCAGCTCAGTTTGTCCTTCACTCAGCAGGCTTCCCTTAAGAAGGGAGGATGATTTAGGGAGAGGGCAGGGACTGAAACTGTTCTCACCAAGGCTCCAATGACCTCCCAATTATCCAGTGATCATTTCTGAATCATTTTCTTGTTTGATTCCTTTCTGTACCCACCACATCCTTGCACTCTCTTTTCACTTGGCTTCCATAACGTTCTGTCTCCTGGCTCTCTCTGTCCTTCTCTGAAAATTCCATTTCCATCTCTTTTGCTGGACCCTCTGTCTACCTCTTAAATGCTAATGTCCCCCAACATGCTGCCCTTTGCTATTTTCTCTTCTTACTTTATATACTCTTCTAAGAACATTTCACTGACTCCTGTGGTTTTAACACCACTGACAGACTCATAATTTCTAAATGTGTACCTATAGATGTAACTTGTCCAAGGGAAACTCACATTTCCCTAACTCTACCCTTCCAGCGTTCTCAGTGTTAATAGTAGACCAACAACCCAGTCTCTAAACCAGAAACCGAGGAGCCATTCTTGACTCCTTCTCTGGCTCTCAATCTCAGCCTGTTGATTCTACCTTTGAAATCCTCCTCTAGTATACCCTTTGTACTGCAGTCTCATGCCTTGGAGGTGGTATAGTATATAGTGGTTAAAAACTCAAGCTTGGGGCCGGGCGTGGTGGCTCACGCCTATAACCCCAACACTTTGGGAGGCTGAGGCGGGCAGATCACCTGAGGTCAGGAGTTTGAGACCAGCCTGGCCAACATGGTGAAACCCCATCTCTACTAGAAATATAAAAAAATTAGCCAGGCGTGGTAGTGGGCACCTGTAATCGCAGCTACTTGGGAGACTGAGGCAGGAGAATTACTTGAACCCAGGAGGTGGAAGTTGCAGTGAGCCAAAATCGTGCCAATGCACTCCAGCCTGGGTAGCAGAGTGAGACTTTGTCTCAAAAAAATAAAAAATAAAATAAAAAATAAGGCCAGGCGCGGTGGCTCATGCCTGTAATCCCAGCACTTTGGGAGGCTGAGGTGGGCAGATCATGAGGTCAGGAGGTCGAGACCATTCTGGCTAACACGGTGAAACTCCAACTCTACTAAAAAATACAAAAAAGAAAAATTAGCTGGGGTAGTGGCAGGCATCTGTAGTCCCAGCTACTCGAGAGGCTGCGGCAGGAGAATGGCGTGAACCTGGGAGGTGGAGCTTGCAGTGAGCCGAGATCGCGCCACTGTACTCCAGCCTGGGTGACAGAGCAAGACTCCGTCTCAAAAAAAAAAAAAAAAGAACTCAAGCTTGGAGTGCGACTATCTGCATTTAGCTCTAGTCTCTACCAGTTATTAGCTGTGTGACCTTTCTAAGTCTCAGTTTCTAATCTGTATTGTAAAGATTAAATAAGATAGTTATTGTAAGATCATGCTAAATATAGTACCCATCCTATAGTAAACACTATAGGTGTGTTGGTCCATAACTCTGGTGTGGAAGAAATTAATCTCTACTCAACTTCTGTTTCAAGCCCTGATTCCACTGGGATGATGGAAACAATGTGAACAAGTCTGGGGATTTGCCCCCTCCTTTTCCCCAGGGTGGAGTCTAAGTAGGGGGAGGTATATGAGGCCAAGATGAGGCTCATCTGGTCCTCAGCCGTCTATTCACAAAGGTGTCCACTGACACCTTCTTTCTTCTCATCTGCCTGGCCCTTTCAAGCCCAGGGTCCAAGCAGAAGAGGGGAGTAATTCATTCGGATACTTCCTTTCTGTCTAGGTCAGGAATTTCTGCAAAGCTGTCTATTGTCTGCCTGGCTAATTATATAACTGTTCTTTCTCAGGGTCCTGTACACCTAGGGTCCTTTCCAGGAAGCAGAGAATGGGACCCCAGTTGCCAGGAGCCACCAACATCTAGATTCTGTCTCCCCCAGCTGGTGAGAGGTAAGGGGAATCCCTCAGATCTTCAGGGGGGCATCCACTCTTCAAATTACACTTTTCCCAGTTTTGTCTCAGCCCCTGAGTCTCCTCTGTTCCTCTGAAGGCTCTAGGTATGGATTTCTGTTTTCTGTTCTTTCACATTCTCCTCTCCTACCTGCCCAAGCTATAAGCCTAGGCTGCTTGGTTGTTTGGATGGAGTGTGGGGAAAGGGTAAAAGGAGAAATACAAGATGGGGAAACCTATCAGATAATATTTTTTCAGCATAGTTGTTGGTGTCATAATTATTTTTTATTAGTTCAGGCTCTTTTTTTTTTTTTTTTTTTTTTTTTTGAGACGGCGTCTCACTCTGTCGCCCAGGCTGGAGTGCAGTGGCACAGTCTCAGCTCACTGCAACCTCTGCCTCCTGGGTTCAAGCGATTCTCCTGCCTCAGCCTCCGGAGTACCTGGGATTACAGGCATACCCCACCACGCCTGGCTAATATTTGTATTTTTACTAGAGATGGGGTTTCACCATGTTGGCCTGTCTGGTCTTGAACTCCTGACCTCAGTTAATCTGCCCGCCTCCGCCTCCCAAAGTGCTGGGATTACAGGTGTGAACCACCGTGCCTGGCCTAGTTCAGGCTCTTATTATCTCTCTTCTGTGCTACTGCAGTAGCCTTCCAACTGGTCTCTGCCCCTAGCCTCACCCCCTTCCAATCCCCTGCTATAAGATGGCTCTTTTTAAAGGACAAATCTGGCTCTGACCTATGTCTAAAGTGTTCCTTGGCTGGTGACTGCTCACCAGACCCCATGCCAGGGCCCTAGCATGGTGCCCAAGGTGCTACTGGACCTGGCCCTGTGCCTCCAGGATCCCTTCTGGCCTCTCCCTGGCTGAGCTTTGTTCTCCTCTAAAACTGAACCAAGTTTAAGTTCCCGAACTCACCTCCTCGTTCTTGCACATGCTGTCTCCACTGACTGCACTGCCTCTCTTCTTCAATCTGATGAATTCTCTTTCACTTCTCAACCCAAATCAGCTGTCACTTCCACCAGGACGTCTTCCCTGTCATTCGCTGCTCTTATTCACAGCAATGACCCCCTCCCTCTGTGCATCACCGACCTCTAATTTATTTGACTATATGTCTATCACTTGTGCCAGAACAGCAAACTCTTTTAGAGCATTCACTGCCCTCATACATCTCTGCATTCGCATCACCTAGCTTAGTGCATAGCGCCAAGTAGGCCCACAAGTTAGCCGGACTCGGGAACACATAGGAAGCAGAGTAGGGGTTAATGGGAATACTAGGTGGAGATGACAGAGGCAATGGCAGGGGCAGCAGCTAGAATAAGACTGTTAAGCAGAAAAGGAGCCTGGAAGGAACAAGACGAGGAACTGCTGTAAGGGGAGCGGTACTGCCCCGGCCTGGGGCGCCTCTTCTCCCAGCACCTGGGCGGCCCGGCTCCGCGGCCGGGAACTACAAATCCCAGGATTCTCAGCGGTGTGGACGGGAAGTGTCCTGTCTGGCGGTGCCGACGGTGAGGGGCGGTGGCCCAACGGCGGGAGATTCAAACCTGGAAGAAGGAGGAACATGGAGAGGAGAGCAGCGGGCCCAGGCTGGGCAGCCTGTGAGTGCGGAGAGGGTCAGAGAAGGGTCTCGCAGTGGTGCCGCTGGTCGGGGGCTTGGCTGTCCCG
The DNA here is from genome assembly GCF_000001405.40 of Homo sapiens. Classification (NCBI taxonomy): domain Eukaryota; kingdom Metazoa; phylum Chordata; class Mammalia; order Primates; family Hominidae; genus Homo; species Homo sapiens. The sequence continues at coordinate 130,982 of NW_025791758.1, read as the reverse complement.
GGAGAGATTGGGGCGTGTGTCGGGCGTGAAGCCTGAGGGGCGAGGGCGGTGGGACTGCTCAGTGGGACGGGAATCCTCAGCCCGGGCGCCGTGGGCCCGAGTGGAACTGTGAGCGGCGCATTGTCCCCTGACTAATGTGCTGCGCTTTAAAGCTTACAAAGAACTTTCTTCCTATTTCCAAGTTCTGGGGTTCCGGAGTCGGGAGAATGTAGGTGATCCTAATGGCTCCTTGAAATTCAGCAGTTACTGCTGGCTACCAAACTTGCCCAGCGATGCCACCGGACAAGACGCCTCAAGGGATCTGGGGGACTCTTAGGCTTTGAGATGCCGCTTTCAGACAATGCCTGTCAAACAGGGGGTGAAATTACCCGGGAAGCTTGTTTGAGATGCAGATTCCTGGGACCTGTCCCAGAGCTTCAGTTCCAGAAGGTCTGGTTTGGGGCCCATAATCTGCATTTATAACAAGCACTGCTGTGCTTCTTCCCTCACCCCAGGTGATTGTGAGGAAGGTAGTCCCTGGGCCACATTTTCAAAGACACTGTTTTAGAGAGAGAGACTGGAGCTGGAAGGATGGGTGGGGCAGAAAGGTTCTATCTGATTTTCTGAATGAAAGGAAAACCTGCTCCTTCCACCACTCCCTTCCTTTCTATTAGGATTCAAAGAGCAAAGTCCATGTCCAGTCTTCTGTTAAAGGAAAACTAGTTCCAGACCTGAGAAGGACAGGAAAACTGTTTTTCGGTTTTTTATTTTTTTGAGACAGCATGTGTATGTACAAAATCCCTCCCATCGCCCACAGTCCTCAGTTCATAACTCTGAGATGATGTCATTCACTTACTGGTTTATTTTCCATGCTTAACAACCAACACTTGTTCCTTGTACACCCCCTTGGAGGAACTGATGGCTTTCCTGTGGTTGGCCAGTGTTTTCAAATCTGTATTTGGAGGGGTGTGTGTGTGTGTGCACGCATGTGTTTTAATTTACTTAACTGCTCATTCATATAAGCTCTGCCCTTCCCTGAATCATTGCAGAATATGCAATATAAGGAAATAGGATAACAACCGGGAATGACATTAAGTGCTGAGTCAAAGACAGATTGGCTAAGCTCTGCCTTTTTTCAAGCTCTCTGAGTTTATTTTCTTACTGTGTGTGTAGCTTTCTCTTACTCTTTCTGTTTGATTTTGTATTGTGTTTCTAAGGAGAATAGAGAGAGGGGAGAGAAGGGAGAAGGATTAAGGGAGACTGTAACTAAGGCAAATTATGATTGCTGTCTCACTTGAGGGATTCTCTATTCTTGAGTTTTGGAATCAGTACTCTGTATTTTATTTAGCTTGAAGATTCTTTTCCTCCTCGGGTGACCTATACCAAAAAGGATAGTGAAGATACCTTTGTGATCTTTTAAAATTTTCTTTGTCCTTCCACTTAATCCCAAGTGAGTGGCATGTTTCCCTCTGTTGGACTGCCTTTCCCTGTGTTCCGCCTATTTATTCCTTAAGATCTAGTTCATAGCTAGAATCCTTTGCTTCCTCTGCTGCTCCCATAGATTTTATGCATGGGCTATAATCATACTTATCATGTTAGATTAATTTATTCAGATGTTTTTCTCTTCTGATAATAATCTTTGGGCGCTGTGGTTCACGCCTGTAATCCCAGCACTTTGGGAGGCCAAGGCGGGAGGATCACTTGAGCCCAGGAGTCCAAGACCAGCCTGGGCAACATGGTGAGAACCAGTCTCAACAAAAAACGCAAGAATTAGCCAGACATGGTGGTGCGCACCTGTGGTCCCAGCTATTTGGTGGTGGGGGGGCTGAGGTGGGAAGATCACCTGAGCCCAGGAGGTCAAGGCTGCACTACTGCACTCCAGCCTGGGTGACAGAGTGACACCCTGTTTCAAAAACAAAACAAACCCACCAATATCTCTGTTGTCCAGGATGGAGTGCAGTGGCACGATCATGGCTAACCGCAGCCTAGACCTCCTGGGCTCAGGTCTAGGCCCAGTAGCTGGGAGTACAGGTTTGCACCATCACACCAGGCTAATTTGTGTATTTTTTGTCAAGACAGGGTCTCACCATGTTGCCCAGGCTGGTCTCAAACTTCTGGGCTCAAGCGATCCACCTACCTCAGCATCCAGAAGTACTGGGATTATAGGCATGAGCCACCATGCAGGCCTTTATCTCTGCATTTCTTAAGAGTAGGGGTCTGCTAGTCCAGTGCCTGGCATAAAGGAGGTATTGATGAATGAATGAATGAGTGAATGATGAATTCTGGTTGGTTCTATTACCTCACCTCTGAGAGAGTAACCAACGAGGATGACACAGGTCCAGTTCTTGGAGAACTCAGTCTAATTAGGGATAAGAAAAGGAGTTAAGTTTCAAGCCAAGGAAGGCTCTGGATGTCCCAGCTGGGAGGTACTGAGGGAAGTTCCATGAGTAGACTTGAGGAGGAAGAGGACAGGAAGATGGCTACAGAGGAAAGAGAAGTAATGCCTCCAGCACAGGAGGAGGCTGCCTATTAAAGGGTATCCTGGGAAGAGAAGGAGGGACACATGGGAGATGTTTCAGGTCTCTGAGCAGGGTTGCCTAAACAAGTCTGTTGAGAAGATGTTTCGGCTGGGCATGGTGGCGGCTCAAGCCTGTAATGCCAGCACTTTGGGAGGCCAAGGCGGGCGGATCACGAGGTCAGGAGATCAAGACCATCCTGGCTAACATGGTGAAACCCTGTCTCTACTAAAAAATATAAAAAATTAGCCAGGCGTGGTGGCGGGCGCCTGTAGTCCCAGCTACTCGGGAGGCTGACGCAGGAGAATGGCATGAACCCGGGAGGCGGAGCTTGCAGTGAGCCAAGATTGGGCCACTGCACTCCAGCCTGGGCGTCTCAAAAAAAAAAAAAAAAAAAAAAAAGACCCTTCAGTGCTAAGGCACCTCTAATGCTCTCTTCATTGACCTTATCCCGTTTAACTCCTCAGATGAACGCCTCACAGCTGAGGAGATGGATGAGCAGAGGCGGCAGAATGTTGCCTATCAGTACCTGTGCCGGCTGGAGGAGGCCAAGCGGTGAGCGGAGTCCAGGAAGATGGACTCTTTCTGCTCTCCCTTTCTACCACCCCACCCTAGGCATCTGCCGCTAAAGCAAATGCAACAGATCGAGAGTCCATCCTGTGGGAAAGGGCGAGTTGAAATAGCTTTTTAATTTTTTTTTTTTGAAGCAAATCCCAGTCACATCCTTTTACCCACTATATACCGCAATATGTATCTCCAAAATATGTGGACGTTCGCTTATATAGCCACAATGCCATTATAATATCCAACTAAATTATTTTAAATCCTTGGAAGATCAATACCCAAGCCATTTTCAAATTTTCCTGCTTGTCTTAAAAAAAAAATCTGTTTTTACAGTTATCTTATTCAAATAAGGATCCAAAAAGCTCACTAATTACATCTGCTTGTATGTCTTCTTTAATCCAGAGCAGCCCATCTCCTTTTTTCAGTTCATTATCTTATTGACTTGCTGAAGAAAACTGGGTCATTTTCCTGAAGTACATCCTACATTTTGTCTCTATTTCTTTTCTTTCTTTCCTTCTGTTTTTTAGAGATGGGTGTCTATTTGCTTTCTTGTGTCATTCAGCTTATTCCTGTATACCCTGTATTTCCTATAAATGAATGTTGGCTTAATTAGATTTGGGTTCAACATTTTTGACAAGCAACATGGCGAAACCCCATCTTTACAAAAAATACAAATATTAGCCAGGCATGGTGGCGTGTGCCCATAGTCCCAGCTACTTGGGGGGCTGAGGAAGGAGGATTGCTTGAACCTGGGAGGTCGAGGAGGCCACAGTGAGCCAAGATGGCACCACTGCACTCCATCCTGGATGACAAAGTGAGACTGTGTCTCCAAAAACAAACAGAAAAACCTGGATGGGCGCTGTGGCTCACGCCTGTAATCCCAGCACTTTGGGAGGCCAAGGCGGGCAGATCACCTGGGGCCAGGAGTTTGAGACCAGCCTGGCTGACATGGTGAAATCCTGTCTCTACAAAAAAAATACAAAAATTAGCTGGTCGCAGTGGTGCATGCCTGTAATCCCAGCTACTCAGGAGGCTGAGGCAGGAGAATCGCTTGAACCCAGGAGGCAGATGTTGCAGTGAGCCAAGATCATGCCATTGCACTCCAGCCTGGGTGAAAGAGTGAGACTCTGTCTCAAAAAAAAACAAAAACAAAAAGCCATTTTTGACAAGAAGACTTCATTAGTGTTGGTGGTTTTTTTTCCCCCACTCAGATCCTTTTACCCCTTATATACTGCAATACATATATCTAAAATATGTGATATTTAACATATGTAAGATACATGTTCCATATCACATCTTATAGAAAGAATACAATGTCTGCTTGTTCCACTTTTAGTGATGCTAAGTTCAATCTGGGAGTTTAGGTGAAACCAACCTGATTTACACATCATAAAATTTCCCATTAACTTTCATCTAATGCCTTCATTCATTGTTGGTCTACATCAGAATTTATTATTTTATCAAGGGTGTAAAATGACTATTTTCTAGTTCTGTCATTTCTTCCATATTTACTAGCTGAAATCCTAAAGAACATTCCCTCATCATCTTAGGACTATTCGGTTACTCTAAAAGTCAATCTGTACAGGAAAAGCAGGATACGTACTTAATTCTTTGCTTTTAATCAACAGGATTCTTTTAATGTTCTTAAAGGAGTCAGGAGGATGGGGCAATCAGGAAAAATCAGGTGTCTAAGGCAGGGAAGACATGGAACAATGTGTAACTGGCTCTCTTTTTGGAAACAGATACTTTCCAATTAGACCCCAATATGTAGGGAAGTTTGGAGATTCCATCTGAGTAGACTTTAATCTCTCCCTCATACAACCATCAGTAATAATAATACTTTATATTCAAAGTGTTTTCACATTCATTAGCTCATTTGATCCTGGCAGCTGCCCACTGAAGGAAATACAGGTGGCATTATCCTCATTTTGCAAATTGTGCAACTGAGGCTCACAGAGGTGAAGTAGGGAAGATGGTTGGAAAGGGGGCCTTCGGACTCCAAGAGCTGTGGTCGTTCTGTCCCTTTGTGCTGCTCCCCTTCCACCAGCCCCACTACTCTCATCATCATCAAAGCTGGGTTATGAGCCATGTAGATCATTCAGGCAGACATGACCTTTCTGCACCCAGGTTCTCAGAGAACAACCCAGAATGAAAGAAGTGAGCACGTTCTATTTTGTTTAGCAGTCAAAGATGTAACTAGGGCCGGGCGCGGTGGCTCATGCCTGTAATCCCAGCACTTTGGGAGGCCAAGGCGGGCGGATCACCTGAGGTCGGGAGTTTGAGACCAGCCTGACCAACATGGAGAAACCCTATCTCTACTAAAAATACAAAATTAGCTGGGCGTGGTGGGGTGTGCCTGTAATCCCAACTACTCGGGAGGCTGAAGGCAGGAGAATCACTTGAACCTGGGAGGCGGAGGTTGCAGTGAGCCAAGATCGCACCATTGCACTCTAGCCTGGGCAACAAGAGCGAGACGCCATTTCAAAAAAAAAAAAAAAAAAAAAAGCATGTAACTAGACTGAGTGAGAAGCTATGTAACAGTTAAGCCTCACTGAAGATGGGCAGGTTCAGGATCTGTCAAGGAAGATTTGCTGGGGTGGGTGGGGCTGAGGGTTGGCCAGTCCAGATATTTGGGGCAACCTAGGAGAAGGTGGGAACAGCCAGGCAATGGGCAGAGAAGGGAGTTGGAGGTAGAGCAGGAACAGGAAGCAGAGGAGGGTCAGGGGCCACTTAAAAGGAGGGACAGAGGGAAGTTCCTGTTGTTAGAATAAATCACTGTGGTCTGCCAGAGTGCGTGAGAAGGTGTTCTCATGTTCATAGCTGGATGGAGGCCTGCCTGAAGGAGGAGCTTCCTTCCCCGGTGGAGCTGGAGGAGAGCCTTCGGAATGGAGTGCTGCTGGCCAAGCTAGGCCACTGTTTTGCACCCTCCGTGGTTCCCTTGAAGAAGATCTACGATGTGGAGCAGCTGCGGTACCAGGTGGGAGGATTGGACCCCACCTTCTACCTTCGTCCCCTCAAACTATGCTTTCTCCTCAAAGCTGTGAGGGTAGAGTGACCATATAACTTATTGTCCAAATCTGGATAAAAGGGAGTGTTATTAATCTATGTTTCTCTGTCCTGGTAGGGATGGAAAATCCACAGGATGTGGTCCTCTGGTTCCCCTCTGCCCATCTCTCCTGAATCTTTAAGCTGTAGTCTGGGCTTTACCCATAGGGAGTGCTGAGAACTGTGGAAATAGATTTTCTTTTTCCTTCCCTTTCAGGCAACTGGCTTACATTTCCGTCACACAGACAACATCAACTTTTGGCTATCTGCAATAGCCCACATCGGTCTGCCTTCGGTAATACTGGGCCTGAAGATTGGTATTCATCTTTACTCCTTACCAGCCACCTCCCACAATCCCATGCTTTATCTCCCTGGACCCTTTAGCCCTATTTCCATGTGTCTTCTAAACTAACTTAATCTAAGAGAACAGTTCCTTGCAGCTGTGTGTCTTTGAACCAGGTTATTTTTTTCTCTGCCTCCTCTTCCCTGTGGATGAAAGGAGGTGAAGTTTCCCTGGCCTGAGTGGCACGGTTCCCATTATGCAGGGGGTGGGAGGCTGCTATGTCATGCTCGTATTGGCCAGCCTTGTCTCCACCAAATTTCACAGTGTGAAGCAAGGGTATACACATCCCTAGGTGGCAGACTTTGAGTTAGAAGCCTAGGTCCAAAACCCCAACTGGACACATGATTTCACTCTTTGAACCTCAATTTGTTACTCATCTGTAAAATGGGGATAGTGAGCCCTGCCCTGTCTACCTTACAGTGTTGTCAGGAAGATCACATGGTCTGTGTGAACTCCCTTTGTGAACTGTGAAGAGCTATACAAATGAAGGCATGATAGGATTCTACAATGTATGGTTTCTTTCTGCTTTGTTTTTCTTCCCTGTAGAAAGGCACTATAAGACAGGAAACAGCAGTAAAGACACTTCGATGGGAGGCAGAAGCAATAGAGGTCATGTGTCTTCAGTGGGACTGGAACACTCTAGGTCTCTAAATTTGGTCTTTTATTGTGAATCTAAATATAACCAAGATATATTGAGGTTAGGCCTCATTACAGTTGTCAGGTGGCATTGAGAAGCCATACCTGGTGCCACTCGGTTCTTAGAAGGGCTCTCATTGATCAGAAGCCGCTGGCTTGGAGACAGGGATAACAGCCTGACACTTTTGTGGTCCTTGGCAATATATGCTTCATTGGGCCCTGCATGGGAGTAGGCCAGCTCTCCAGCATACCACATCTCTGGCAAGGGTCTAAGGTGAGGCATGCAGGCTCACTATAGACATCTGGAAGACAACTGGGGGCCTGGTTTTTTGTTGTTGTTGCTGTTATTGTTTTTGGAGGATATGGCTTATATCCTGTAGCCTTGATGGCCTTATCTGGTGTTTGGTTAATCCAGGGCACCCTAGGACTATGTGTCTGTGGCTGAGCCTTGGCTTAGTATGCATCCTCAGTGAATTTCTTTTATACTAGGCTGACTAGAAATGGTTGGGGGAGACTGACCTAGACACCCCAGGTAACAAGGGAACACACACCTCAGGTTGGAGAGGAAGACCCATTCCTCGGCACCCCCTCTCCGCATTTGGTGGTGCTTAAAGGTTCCCAATGGCAGTAACTGGCTGGTTTCTCCTCTAGACCTTCTTCCCAGAGACCACGGACATCTATGACAAAAAGAACATGCCCCGGGTAGTCTACTGCATCCATGCTCTCAGGTGAGAGACCTCAAATTTTATCATCCAGGTTCCTCTAGGTGGATGCGACCAACAATCAACAACAACAAACTCAGCAAGAAAGAAGGATGAAGGGTAGACCACAGGGAGCACTGCTCAGGAGAGTGAGGTTTCAGATTTACAGAGTTGTGTTTAGATTTTTGTGCATGTCTGTGGGCACATTTATGTATGGCCTGTGTGGGTGAAGGGGAAGGGCAGGCAGGGTACCAGAGATAGGAAAGTAGCAGGGTAGGGCCTTCAGTTTGTAACTGGGTATAAAGGAATCAGAACAGGACCTATTGAGAGCAACACAGGCAAGACACTTAGTATGGATGGTGTAGGCTCTTTGGTCCTACTTACAGCCAGCCATCAGCAACCAGTTGGCTAAATCACAGCAAGTGACCGACCGGTTCCTTGTGTTTACCATGCCATCTCTTTCTGACCACTTCCCATGTCCCTTTGTGCCCCTGTGCCTTAGCTCAGCAGGTATCTGCTTGCTGCGCCCTTCCTGTCCTCTCTCTCCATTGAGTGACCTGCTACTGCAATGTGGCCTTCTCTGTGAAGCCTTCCTAATCCCCTCAGACCCCCAACACCATCTTATTTACCTTCTGCAGCACTTTCCTTGGGCTGATTTATGGTCATATTTCTTTATGTGGGTTGGGGATGACTTGAGGGCAGGTGCTGAGTGGTCTTCATCTCTAGGTCCCCATAGTATCCCCTTCAAACCCATCGTGGGCAGAGTGTCAAAATGAATAGGCCCCAGTGCCTTCCAATGCCTTCCGTTTTTTCCTAGTCTCTTCCTCTTCCGGCTGGGATTGGCCCCTCAGATACATGATCTATACGGGAAAGTGAAATTCACAGGTAAGCCCAGCTCCTTCCCTGACCACCACAGCCTGGGCAGGGTCTTGGGGGTTCTGGGCCTGATGAAGGGCACCTGTGGCATCATTGCAGCTGAGGAACTCAGCAACATGGCGTCCGAACTGGCCAAATATGGCCTCCAGCTGCCTGCCTTCAGCAAGATCGGGGGCATCTTGGCCAATGAGCTCTCGGTGGATGAGGCTGCAGGTAAGGACTAGGCTCTGCCCTGCCAGGAGTAGGCTCAATGCGTATGGGAGGGCTCCAAGCCTCACAGCCATTGGATGGGTTCTGGCCAGCTCTCATCCACAGATAGGGCCATCAGGCTACCTGGTTTGTCTGGCCCTTGAGGGTGGGAAAAAGGATGACATTAGAGTGGGCTGCTACTGGTTGCGCTCCAATCTGGGATTCACTCTGGCCTCCTGACCTTGTTTCCATGCCCTCTCCCAGTCCATGCAGCTGTTCTTGCCATCAATGAAGCAGTGGAGCGAGGGGTGGTGGAGGACACCCTGGCTGCCTTGCAGAATCCCAGTGCTCTTCTGGAGAATCTCCGAGAGCCTCTGGCAGCCGTCTACCAAGAGATGCTGGCCCAGGCCAAGATGGAGAAGGCAGCCAATGCCAGGAACCATGTAAGGAGTAGTCTTGGGTTGCAGGGACCGAAAAGTTGAGTGGCTGGAAAGTCTCAAGTGAAACCGGGACTCCTATCTGTCATGTCTCTAGTATCCAAAATTGCTTCTTAGAGAAACCATAATTTATCAGTGATTTTAGAGAAATAGGAAAGGAACTTGGAAGAATGATGAGAATTCCGAAGAGAAGACTGGAGAAGAGGTTCTTGGGGGATGATCTTCAGGGAAGCCTGAGAGGGGTGCTGGAATGTAGAACAGAATGAGATTGGACTGGAGGTTCCAAAGGTTGGTTTGGCTTAATTATGTCAGTGCCAAGTGTTTTAGACCCCACAATTCCTGAATTCTGAGCAGACTGAACTTTGGCCTTGGGAAGGTCCCCAGAAGAAGAAATAAGTGTAGCCAGGCAGGGAAGAGCAGGACAAGGAGATTAAATTGGGTTTCCCAGGTTCCCTTTCAATGGAGTTTTTGCAGGATGACAGAGAAAGCCAGGACATCTATGACCACTACCTAACTCAGGCTGAAATCCAGGGCAATATCAACCATGTCAACGGTAAGAGACCTCGAGCAGGAGTGGTTTGGGGGTGACCTCAGGGTAAGCCCCTGCACTGGGAGGTTTGGGGATAGCTTTTCTCAAGCCAGAAAGCCCTATGGTCTCATTTGGGCCAACTCTTGCCTCGGAGAAAGATCAGAGTCCAAGGAGTATGTGCACTGCTTTCTGGCCATCGGTGTCTAGAGAAGTAGTCCATGTCCGGGAAGCTTCTGTCTGACTGGAGAACCATAGAGAGGAGCAGCTCTTGATGCCGGGGGGGCAGTTGGACTGGGGTCCTTCGAGAGGGGCAATGTGGAGAATACATGAGGATGGGGGGATCTGGGTAGGAGCCGTGTGAAGGCTCAGGATGGGTGGGCATTTGCCTATTTGGGTGAGGATATCCTTGGGGTCTGGGGCGGCGAAGTGAGAAGGCTGTGAAGACCAAGCTGAAGAATTTGGGCTGAACCAAATGGGCCCAGGAACCAAGGGGGAAAGGGTGGGGGTAATTCCGGGCAGGCAAGAAGAGGGTAGATTCCTAGGGCTGGACTAGGGGATTATGAGAGGTGGCTTTCTCACACTGTCCATTATGGAGTCATTTTTTTTCAGTCCATGGGGCTCTAGAAGTTGTTGATGATGCCCTGGAAAGACAGAGCCCTGAAGCCTTGCTCAAGGCCCTTCAAGACCCTGCCCTGGCCCTGCGAGGGGTGAGGAGAGACTTTGCTGACTGGTACCTGGAGCAGCTGAACTCAGACAGAGAGCAGAAGGCACAGGTTAGCCTCTGTCTATTACCTGCCACCCCCTGTATGTGACTATAGGATAGGAGAGGGCCTCTTACTCAAAGATCACCACTGTTGGTCCTTTGTATTCTGTAAGTGCTGACTACGTGTTTAAATGGTTAAATCACCCCAAGGCCTAGTAGACCAGATTGATCAGCTTCTGTCCCTGAGAGTCCCCCAGGCTGACCAAGAGGAACCCAAGGACAGTCCCATAGGCAGTAATGTGCTCCCCCATTGTTGAACTGGTGCCTCCACTTAGCAATCTTGTTTTTAAAGTAGTTGACTTTTCCCCTGACACATTCGTGTTGTCTATGTTGTTATTTTAGATGCTTGCTGAGCAAGAAAGATTAAAGATGAGTTAATAGGGCTGGGCACTGTGGCTCACGCCTGTAATCCCAGCACTTTGGGAGGCTGATGTGGGTGGATCACTTGAGGTCAGGAGTTTGAGACCAGCCTGGCCAATATAGTGAAACCCTGTCTCTACTAAAAATACAAAAATTAGCTGGTGTGGTGGCACACGCTTGTAATCCCAGCTACTTGGAAGGCTTCGGCAGAGAATCGCTTGAACCCGGGAGGCAGAGGTTGCCGTGAGCCGAGATTGTGCCACTGCACTCCAGCCTGGGAGACAGAGCAAGACTCCATCTTAAAAAAAAAAAAACGGTTAATAGGGATGAGTGAGCCAGCCTAACGGAGAGAGGTAGGATTGAGGGTAGGTGGCTGGGTAGACCTGGGAGCTCATGCTGGCAACTCGTAAAGCATGGTCATGGCCCCGGAAGGACTCCATTCTACTGTATCTCTTCCCTCTCTTAGGAGCTGGGCCTGGTGGAGCTTCTGGAAAAGGAGGAAGTCCAGGCTGGTGTGGCTGCAGCCAACACAAAGGGTGATCAGGAACAAGCCAGTAAGTCATCTGCAGGTCTGAGGCCTGCTCTGTGCGTATCTCTGACTCTTAGAAGAGTATCCCACCTCTTTGCTGGCTTCTGTATTGGGCAGTACACACTGCTGCTGTTTCCAGCCTGGCTAGGAACTTCTCCCCTCACATAATCTGCTTTATTCCTGCTGCCTGGGGGGACACTACAGATAAGTTCATTAAGGCCTTAGAGATAATGACATGCCAATACTGCACTGGGCTGTTCTCCTGGGGCAGGCAGTTTTCTTCCAGGCAGTTTGCCTGTAATTTTGACAGTTTCAACCTGCTTGAATTCCTTTGGCTTCGGAAATGTAGTAATTTTCCAGAATATGAGCAAAAAACTCATCTTCTCAGTTTCCCTTAAAAACATTATATACAAATGTAATTCTTTTTTGTTTGTTTTTGTTTTTGTTTGAGACAGAGGCTCACTCTGTTGCCCAGGCTGGAGTGCAGTGGCACAATCTCGGCTCACTGCAACCTCCACCTCCTGGGTTCAAATGATTCTCTTGCCTCAGCCTCCCGAGTAGCTGGGTTGACAGGCACCTGCCACCATGGCAGACTAATTTTGGTATTTTTAGTAGAGGTAGGGTTCTTCGTGTTGGCCAGGTGGGTCTCAAACTCCTGGCCTCAAGTGATCTGCCTACCTTGGCCTCCCAAAGTGCTGGGGATTACAGGTATGAGTCACTGTGACCGGCCACAAATATAATTATTTATTACAAGAATGTGAGTTAGTAATTGTCTTCCTCCAAGAGATCTATCTGCACTGCAAGTATGAAGAGAAACAGTGCTGAGGCAAAATGCAGTAGCCTGTGGACACTAGGCCTGTTACAGTTGCTTGCCTTAGTCTGGACTTGCTGTCAGGTTTAGAGGTTGCTCAGTAACCATTTACCTTTGTCTAACAGAGCTTTCCGACATTCACTAGCTTTCAGTAGCCCCCGGGCCACTCCTGACTGGCTGCTTTCCTAATCCACTCAGTTCATTCCCGATTGCTGCTGCCAGAGTAATCTCTGAAGCACAGATCTGATCTTATCTCCCTTGTTGAACATCTTCAGACCTTCATGGGTTCTTCCATTATTTAGCCCACACTTTAGTCCTATCTCCTTGTCCTGGCAGATAAGACCTTTCCAGAGTTCATCCCCAGCTCTTCTGTTCACATTCCATCCAATTCAGCCGAGCAAACAATCTATTCTCCCTAGATTGCCCTCCAGCCTTTCCCATCACCGGGCTTCTGGTCCTGTGGGTTACATTTCTCCCACATTCTCACCTGTTGATGAGCGGGTGAAAACATTCTCCAGAGCTGTCTCCAAGGCTTCCTCCTCTGTGAAGTCTTCTGCTCTCTCCCAGGCAGAATCCCTCCTCCCCTGCTCTGCCATAGCATTGTGTGGGGGTGGCGGGAGGTGGACTTCTAACATGACATTGACAGCAGTGCACTGTAGGTACTTTGGTATCCTTAGTTCTTCCCAGTAGATTGTGCTCTCCTTGATGTCAGTGCCCGTATCTGCTAAGCATTTTGTAAGCCACAGAGTTTGTAAACTCAGACTACATTGAGGCACCACAGCCCCTTTTAAGCTTACTACTGCCCTTTGCAGCAAACGGCTCCACCTTGGAGCTGGTTCCTTATTCCTCTGTGCTGTCATCAAGCCTTGGTCCCTAGAGCCCCCTGACTAACCTCATCTTAGTTACGTTCCATAGCCACCTGTCAATCTTGTGCTCACCACCTTAGGAACTCACCCTCTGCTATGACAGCCACTCTGTGTTACATGCTGAGCTACTCAATTTCTTTTTTTTTTTTTTTTTTTTTTTTTATTGATCATTCTTGGGTGTTTCTCGCAGAGGGGGATTTGGCAGGGTCATAGGACAATAGTGGAGGGAAGGTCAGCAGATAAACAAGTGAACAAAGGTCTCTGGTTTTCCTAGGCAGAGGACCCTGCGGCCTTCCGCAGTGTTTGTGTCCCTGGGTACTTAAGATTAGGGAGTGGTGATGACTCTTAACGAGCATGCTGCCTTCAAGCATCTGTTTAACAAAGCACATCTTGCACCGCCCTTAATCCATTTAACCCTGAGTGGACACAGCACATGTTTCAGAGAGCACAGGGTTGGGGATAAGGTCACAGATCAACAGGATCCCAAGGCAGAAGAATTTTTCTTAGTACAGAACAAAATGAAAAGTCTCCCATGTCTACTTCTATCCACACAGACCCGGCAACCATCTGATTTCTCAATTTTTTCCCCACCCTTCCCGCCTTTCTATTCCACAAAACCGCCATTGTCATCATGGCCCATCCCCAATGAGCCGCTGGGCACACCTCCCAGACGGGGTCGTGGCCGGGCAGAGGGGCTCCTCACTTCCCAGTAGGGGCGGCCGGGCAGAAGCGCCCCTCACCTCCCGGGTGGGGCGGCTGGCCGGGCGGGGGGCTGACCCCCCCACCACCCTCCCGGACGGGGCGGCTGGCCAGGCAGAGGGGCTCCTCACTTCCCAGTAGGGGCGGCCGGGCAGAGGCGCCCCTCACCTCCTGGATAGGGCGGCTGGCCGGGCGGGGGGCTGACCCCCCCACCACCCTCCCGGACGGGGCGGCTCGCCAGGCAGAGGGGCTCCTCACTTCCCAGTAGGGGCGGCCGGGCAGAGGCGCCCCTCACCTCCCGGACGGGGCGGCCGGCCGGGCGGGGGGCTGACCCCCCCACCTCCCTCCCGGACAGGGCGGCTGGCCGGCCCCCCCCCCGCGCCTCCCTCCCGGACGGGGCGGCTGGCCGGGCAGAGGGGCTCCTCACTTCCCAGTAGGGGCGGCCGGGCAGAGGCGCCCCTCACCTCCCGGACGGGGTGGCTGGCCAGGCGGGGGGCTGATCCCCCCACCTCCCTCCCGGACGGGGCGGCTGGCCGGGCGGGGGGCTGACCCCCCCCACCTCCCTCCCGGACGGGGCGGCTGGCCGGGCGGGGGGCTGACCCCCCCACCTCCCTCCCGGATGGGGCGGCTGGCTGGGCGGGGGGCTGACCCCCCCACCTCCCTCCCGGACGGGGCGGCTGGCCGGGCAGAGGGGCTCCTCACTTCCCAGTAGGGGCGGCCGGGCAGAGGCGCCCCTCACCTCCCGGACGGGGTGGCTGGCCAGGCGGGGGGCTGATCCCCCCACCTCCCTCCCGGACTGGGCGGCTGGCCGGGCGGGGGGCTGACCCCCCCACCTCCCTCCCGGACGGGGCGGCTGGCCGACCCCCCCCCGCGCCTCCCTCCCGGACAGGGCGGCTGGCCGGGCGGGGGGCTGACCCCCCCCACCTCCCTCCCGGACGGGGCGGCTGGCCGGGCGGGGGGCTGACCCCCCCACCTCCCTCCCGGATGGGGCGGCTGGCCGGGCGGGGGGCTGACCCCCCCACCTCCCTCCCGGACGGGGCGGCTGGCCGGGCAGAGGGGTCCTCACTTCCCAGTAGGGGCAGCCGGGCAGAGGCGCCCCTCACCTCCCGGACGGGGTGGCTGGCCAGGCGGGGGGCTGACCCCCCCCACCTCCCTCCCGGACGGGGCGGCTGGCCGGGCGGGGGGCTGACCCCCCCACCTCCCTCCCGGACGGGGCGGCTGGCCGGGTGGGGGGCTGACCCCCCACCTCCCTCCCGGACTGGGCGGCTGGCCGGGCGGGGGGCTGACCCCCCACCTCCCTCCCGGACGGGGCGGCTGGCCGGGCAGAGGGGCTCCTCACTTCCCAGTAGGGGCGGCCGGGCAGAGGAGCCCCTCACCTCCCGGACGGGGCGGCTGGCCGGGCGTGGGGCTGACCCCCCCGCCACCTCCCTCCCGGACGGGGTGGCTGCCGGGCGGAGACGCTCCTCACTTCCCAGACGGGGTGGCTGCCGGACGGAGGGGCTCCTCACTTCTCAGACGGGGCGGTTGCCAGGCAGAGGGTTTCCTCACTTCTCAGACGGGGCGGCCGGGCAGAGGCACTCCTCACATCCCAGACAGGGTTGCGGCCCAGCAGAGGTGCTCCTCACATCCCAGACAGGGCGGCGGGGCAGAGGCTGAGCTACTCAATTTCTAGGCCTGACAAATTGCTTCTTACAGAGCCTCTTGTTAAAGCAACCCAGCCCCTTTTCTTCCTGAACACTTAGAAATGCATTTTAAACCTAGCAGATTTTTGAGAGCAGTTGGAAAGCCATTTCCCCACCAAGATCCCCCGGCGGAGCCTAGTTGGTGAGGAGAGTGGAGATGCCACTGAATGCCCGGCCAGTACAACCTGTTGCTCTCCTGCCTTGCAGTGCTCCACGCTGTGCAGCGGATCAACAAAGCCATCCGGAGGAGAGTGGCGGCTGACACTGTGAAGGAGCTGATGTGCCCTGAGGCCCAGCTGCCTCCAGTGTACCCTGTTGCATCGTCTATGTACCAGCTGGAGCTGGCAGTGCTCCAGCAGCAGCAGGGGGTAAGCCCCAGAAATGTGGGTCTAGCTCTGCAGTCTCCATGCAGCTGGAGGGATCAGGACAGGCAGCCCAGGCCACCCTCTTGTGAGTGCGATATGAGATGCTGGCACGAGATTAGGATGGGGAAAGAGCTACCATCCCTGCCTTACTGAGCGTATTTTAATAGCCAATACCTTGAGCAAACACTGCTTTACATACTCATTTAATCCTTAAAAGGACCCTATGAGGGAGGCATTCTATTTTAGAGATGGGGAAACTGAGATGCAGAGTTAAGTCACTTGCCCAACACAGCTGTGAGTGCCAGTGCTGGGAGTGGATGCAGAAGCCCATGCTTTGAAGCACTTCACTGTCCCACCTCATCCCAATCCATAGTTCTTCTCTGACAGTGAAACGACAGGGCCCTCACTTAGGGACTTTCTGTCTGTTGGAGGAGTTAGAATACACCTGAAGGTCCAAATAGAGACACACAGGGAGAGAAGAGCAGATGACATAAGTGGAAGAAGTCTTCAGACCAAGGAAATGGAGGAAGCAGAGCCGGGAAGTCTTCCTGGAAGAGAATCAATAGAGAACTACACCCACAGCAGGTGTTTATAGAGCATCTACTCCCAGCATGACTTGGATACAGGCACAGCCCTCAGGAAAGGCACAGTCTCAACATAGGAATGACTATGTACAAGGAAGCATAAAATAAGTACTAAGAAGTAAAGCATTGTGACTAAAGTTGTGGACTTTTGAGCCAGGCTGCGTGAGTTCAAATCTGGCTCTGCTACTTCTTAGCTATGTGACATTGGGCAAGTTAATTACTTTCTCTGCTGCTCAATTTCTTTGAATATAAAATGGGAACAATAATATATTTACCTCAGGCTATAGGATTAAATAAGGGAACATATTTGCTTAGAGAAGAACCTAAGAGAAGAAAGTAAGAACCTTAGAGAAGAAAGTAAACTTTAGCTATTAATATTATTGTTGTTGATATTCACAACATTCTGTTAGGAGAAAATAGGAAGGGGGCTGGGTGTGGGGGTTCATGCCTATAATCCCAGCACTTTGGGAGGTCCAGGCAGGCAGATCACTTGAGGCCAGGAGTTTGAGACCAGCCTGGCCAACATGGCGAAACCCCATCTCTACTGAAAATACAAAAATTAGCCAGGTGTGGTGGTGGCACATGCCTGAAATCCCAGCTACTCCAGAGGCTGAGGCTCAGAGATCACTTGAACCCGGGAGAGCCAAGATTGTGCCACTGCACTCCAGCCTGGGCCACAGAGTGAGACTCTATCTCAAAAAAACAGAGAAGAAAATAGGAAGGGTGCTCTAGACAAAGGGCACGGCATAAGCAGATGTTTGAAAAGCAGAAGAAGGACAGGGCAGGGAAATGGGGCCGGAGCTTCTTGGGTGTGCGGTGCAGTGCAGTGTGGAGGCGACCACTCCATCTTCATCTCTGTATACCCAGGGCCTAGTGCAGTTCAATTTTTTTTTTTATTTTAAGACGGTCTGGCTCTGTCACCCAGGCTAGAGTGCAGTGGCATGATCTCGGCTCATTGCAACCTCCACCTGGGTTTAAGCGATCCTCCTGCCTCAGTCTCCTGAGTAGCTGGGATGACAGGTACGCACCACCATGCTCAGCTAATTTTTGTATTTTTAGTAGAGACAGGATTTTGCCATGTTGGCCAAGCTGGTCTCAAACTCCTGAGCTCAAGCGATCTGTCCACCTTGGCCTCCAAAGTGCTAGGATTACAGGTGTGAGCCACTGCACCCGGCTAATACAGTTCTTGATATGCAGTAGGGACCAATGGGAGCTGGTAGAGCTTACTTGTTAAGTGTGGGCTTTGAAATCAGACAGCTAGTTTTGACTTACATTATTGGTCGTGGGCTCATCCATGAAATGGGGATGTTAATGGTACTATGGTTCTATTGTCGGCTTATTATGAAAATTAAATGATAATGTGTGTGAAGTACTTATAATTGAGCACATAGTAAGTATTATCAGGTGTTTTGTATGATGATTATTAGTGAGTGAATCAGGCCACTGGGGTTTTGGGATAGAGACTCTGGGATATTCAAGAACCTTGGGGGCAGGATGGTGAATAGGCCTTTAGACCCTTCACCTGCCCACTTGGGAATTGGCCCTCCCACCCATTGTAGGAGCTTGGCCAGGAGGAGCTCTTCGTGGCTGTGGAGATGCTCTCAGCTGTGGTCCTGATTAACCGGGCCCTGGAGGCCCGGGATGCCAGTGGCTTCTGGAGCAGCCTGGTGAACCCTGCCACAGGCCTGGCTGAGGTGGAAGGAGAAAATGCCCAGCGGTGAGAAAGGCTTAGCCACACATTGGGAGTGAGGGATGGGGGAATGCAGCCAAGACTCAGCACTCTTCTGTTGGAGACTTGCCTTGTGTACGATGTCCCATTCTTGGGCCCAGGCCCACCCTCTGGGTCTGTTCACAGTTCCTTGGCCTGTGTTTCTTCCTGGGAGTGGATGGGATCACAGTCATTCCTTTTTTCTTCATTGATTCATTCTTTCCTAGCAGATGTTTGAGTACTGACCCATGTGCCAGATATTACTCTAGGTGCTGGGAAACAGCAGTGAACAAAACACTTTCTGCTCTTGTCAAACTTACATGCTAGTAAAGGGAGACAGATGATGAGAAAAGAAGATGAGGTGGCTGGGTGCAGTGGCTCACGCCTGTAATCCCAGCACTTTGGGAGGCCAAGGCGGGAGGATCACTTGACGTCGGGAGTTTGGGACCAGCCTAACCAATGTAGAGAAACCCCATCTCTACTAAAAATACAAAATTAGCCGGGCGTGGTGGCACATGCCTCTAATCCTAGCTACTCTGGGAGCTAAGGCAGGAGAATGACTTGAACCTGGGAGGTGGAGGTTGTGTTGAGCCGAGATCGCACCATTGCACTCCAGCCTGGGCAACAAGAGCGAAACTCCATCTCAAAAAAAAAAAAAAAAAAGAAAGAAAGAAAAGAAAAGAAGAAAAGACATAGAGAAAAATAAAATAGGGCAAAGTGGGTAATGGGTAGAGACATAGTAGGGACAGTTTTTCTGTTTTACATAATGTAGATCTCTTTGCTGAGGAGGTCATTTTGAAAGAGACCTAAAGGGCATAAATGATTGCCATGAGGCTATCTGGGGCAGAGGCCTTAAGAAAGCAATGTGCATGGTGTGTTCAAAGAACATCAGGAAGCCAGTGTGGTGGAGTGAAGTAAGGAAGAAAGAGGAGTGGGAGATGAAGACCAAGTAGCCGAGGCCAGACCACGTAGGACTCTGGTTTTTACTCTGAGTGAGGAAGGAAGCCACGGGAGGGTTTTGAGCCGGGAGGGAGTTGATCTGACCTACTTCTTTTTTTTTTATTTTTAGAGACAGGGTCTTGCTCTGCCACCCAGGCTGGAGTGCAGTGGTGCAATCACAGCTCAGGGTCTGGTTCTGTCACCCAGGCTGGAGTGCAGTGATGCAATCACAGCTCAGGGCCTTGCTCTGTCACCCAGGCTGGAGTGCAGTGGTGCAATCATGGCTCACTGCATCCCTGAACTCCTGGGCTCAAGTGATCCTCCCAACTCAGCCTCCCAAGTAGCTAGGACTACAGGCACATGCCACCATGCCTGGCTAATTTTTTAATTTTTTGTAGAGATAGGATCTCTGTACGTTGCCCAGGCTGGTCTTGAACTCCTGGGCTCAAACTGTCCTCCCATCTTGGCCTCCCAAAGTGTTGGAATTACAGGCATGAGCCACCGTGCCCAGCGATCTGATCTACTTAATGGGATCTTTCTGGCTGCTGTGCTGAGAACTGACTGCAGGAGTACAAGGGGAAAGCAGGGAGACCTGTTAGACAGCTATTGGAGTAATCCAGGCAAGAGATGATGGGGGCTTGGCCTTGGGCGGTAGCGGAGATGGGAAAAAGGAGTCAGATTTTGGATACATTTTGAAAGCAAACTGACAGGATTTGGTCATATAATAGATATGGGGTAGAAGAGAGAACAGAATTAGGTATGACTCCAAGATTTGGGGCAAGATGGGAGAGACGGTGGGACATGCAGGTTAAGCAGGGGAACCAGTTCAGATGTGAGCTGTTGGGTTTGAGGTGCTTGTTAGACATTCACTTGGAAATCACAAGGAGCTGGCTGGGATAAATGAATGGGCTGGAGGTGTGCTTTCGGGAGCATATGGTGTTAAAGTCATGAGATTGGGTGAGATCATCTACAATGTAAGTATGGAGAGAGAAGAGGTCTGAAGACTGAAGATTGGGATGCTCCCATGTTTAGATGTCAGGGAGGAACCAGCAGAGGTGTCTCAGAAAGAATAGCCTGTGAGGCAAGAAGAGAACTAAAAGAGTGTGGTGTCCTGGAGGTCAAGTGAAGAAAATCGTTCAACTGTTTCCCCTGACTTCTGGCTGATGATTCACATGCTACTCACCTCTCTGCCCTTCACCCCACTGCCAGTTACTTCGATGCCCTGCTGAAATTGCGACAGGAGCGTGGGATGGGTGAGGACTTCCTGAGCTGGAATGACCTGCAGGCCACCGTGAGCCAGGTCAATGCACAGACCCAGGAAGAGACTGACCGTAAGTATAGTCTGGAGCTGGGTGGAGATGGCCCAACTTAGGCAGTCCTGTCCCTTAGCCATTAAGTCTAGGGGCCCCCTGCCCACCTAGATCTCTCTTTCTTAGGGGTCCTTGCAGTCAGCCTCATCAATGAGGCTCTGGACAAAGGCAGCCCTGAGAAGACTCTGTCTGCCCTACTGCTTCCTGCAGCTGGCCTAGATGATGTCAGCCTCCCTGTCGCCCCTCGGTACCATCTCCTCCTTGTGGCAGCCAAAAGGCAGAAGGCCCAGGTGAAGTTAGGGCTGGTTGGGTTGGTCATCAGAGCAGGAAGAACATTCTCTGTGGGTTGCACTGTACCCAGTCTGGCAGAGCTCTATTCTGATGGACACAATGGCTTCTGGGTGGGGGTGAGGGGGGTGTTCCAATCTGGTAAAGAAGGATGGCCCTGTTGCCAGGGCAGTGGGCAGTCCATGGGAAAAGCACAGGCCTGGGAGCCAGAGAAACAGGCTGGATTTCCCACTCTGACCCTTAGTGACCATGTGACCTTGAGCAAATCCCTTGATATCTCTGAGCTCTATTTACTCATCTGTAAAGTACTGCCTACGCTGGTCCTACCCAGCTCCCAGAATGAGGGTGAAAATCAAATGAATTGACAAATGGGGCAGGGTTCTGAACCTGAAACACCCTGAGTATGTTGCAGTAGAGAGTGGTTGAGAGCTCAGACTCCTGGGCCAGACTACTGGAGCCTACATCCTGGCGGCCTGACCCTGCACGTGTTACTTAACCTCTCTGTGCCTCTGTTTCATCACCTAGAAGCTTGTGGCAGTAAAGAGTGTATCTCATAGTTATGGGGTGTAAGTGAGATAATATGACAGTAGTACTGGCTAACATTTATTGAGTCCTTACTCTGTGCCAAGCATCATTTTATGTGCTTTACAAGTATTAATGCATAAGAAAGTGCTTTAGAATACTGCCTGGCACATAGTCAGTACTCAATAAAATGTTAGTTTACAAAGTCTATTATTATTGAGGAGAGTTGGGAAGGAGTAGAATCTGGGGTTGTGTGAGGCAAGGAAGGGTTCAAGCCTTTATCAGTCTGACAGTGTGGCAGGCATAGGCTTACTTGACCTGTGGGCTCATGTAATCTTCCCACTACCTTGTCGGGTAGAGGAGTGTGGAGCAAGAAAAGGAAAGAGAAGGTAAGGGTCAGGGTCAGGATTGGCCTGAGAAGGTGTGCAATGAGGCATAGGGGAGTGGGGCGTGGGGGCAGGTAGTTGGAGCCTCCAGCGTAGGCTATCCCTGGACATGGCTGAGGCATAAGAGCAGGGAATTGAGCTGTTGAGAAGGTGGTGGATGCTGAGGGTTTGAGGAGCTATGCAGAGCCTCTGTGGTTCTGGAGGTGCTGTGGCCAAGCCGAGTAGACCTGAAAGCCCAATAGGATAAGAGAGCCTTCTGAGCCTGGCCGCGTCCCAGGGAACCACATGCCACACATGCCCACACACAGGGCAGAGAGCTGAGTGGAGATCACTGTCCCTGTGGCTCCCAATGCCTGCCTGCAGTTTGGTTCCCTTGGGCATCTTGGCCTGGGAACCTAGAGAGACTAGCTTGGGGTCACATCTTTTTTTTCTCCCTCAATCTGCCAGGTGACAGGGGATCCTGGAGCTGTGCTGTGGCTTGAGGAGATCCGCCAGGGAGTGGTCAGAGCCAACCAGGACACTAATACAGCTCAGAGAAGTAAATGGACTGGTTGGGGGACCCTGGGAGGGGAGGGATGGTGATGTGGGCTCAGCAGCAGCCCAGATAATCAGGCAGCCTCCCTGGTCACCACCCTCTCCCTTCAACCTCTGTGGGGAGGCAGGCCAGAGTCAGAGCAGGAGGGCTGCTGTTCAGACTGCAGGATGGATTTCCTGGCAGTCAGCAGGGCAGGACATTCTCAGGAGGTGAGAATCCATAGTTCACCTGCTGCCTCCCTCTATGCCTTCCTGTGAACACTTTCCCTGTAATGTGGGCATGTGAGATCATGCGGTAGTCAGAAATCCCATTTCTGCTGGTAGCTTGAGTTTGGGTTCCAACAGTCAATCAGCTCTGGCTAGAAAATGTTTAGACTTGGAATGAGAGAAGAGGAATTGGCAGGAGTTTGAGGAAAACAGGCAGACTCAGTGCAAATAGACAGGGGTGTGCTGATGTTTGGTGCTGGTGGTGTTAGTTCTCAGTGGCTGGGGTCTCCCTGTCCATCTGTCTGTCTGCTAGTGAGTGGAAGGCAGATGCTACAGCAGCCATTCCCACCTCTTAGGCTCTCTTCTAAGAAACTGTCCCAGGGTCCTCTGCCCATATCCTGCATAAAGTGCTTCTTTTTTAAGACAGGGTCTTACTCTGTCACCCAGGCTAGAGGGCAGTGTACTGTGATCTCCATTCACTGCAACCTCTGAAGCAATCCTCCCACCTCGGATTCCTGAGTAGCTGGGAGGACAGGCATGCGCTACCATACCTGGCTAATTTTTTTTTTCTTTTTTTTTTTTTTTTTGAGACAGAGTGTTGCTCTGTCACCAAGGCTGGAGTGCAGTGGTATAATCTTGGCTCACTGCAACCTCTACCTCCCAGGTTCAAGCGATTCTTGGGCCTCAGCCTCCCGAGTAGTTGGGATTATAGGCGCCCACCACCACAGCTGGCTAATTTTTGTATTATTAGTAGGCACATATAATACATATAATTCACCATATTGGCCAGGCTGGTCTCAAACTCCTGACCTCAGGTGATCTGCCCGCCTAAGCCTCCCAAAGAGCTGGGATTACAGGCGTGAGCCACAGTGCCTGGCCAATTTTTGTATTTTTTTATAGAGATGGGGTTTCGCCATGTTGGCCAGGCTAGTCTCAAACTCCTGGGCTCAAGTGATCTGCCTGCCTCAGCCTCCCAAAGTGTTGGGATTACAGGCAGGAGCCACTGCTCTGGGCCTTTATGCTTCTGTTCAAGCTGATTTTCCTTTTATCAAGCCCCAACTCAGCCTAGCCCCACGCTGCCTCCCTCAGGAGTGCTTCATTGACTGCTGCTGCCTTTCCCTCCAAGCACAGTTGCATGCTGCTGCTTTTCATGCATGTGTCTCTGTCCATCCTGGGATGTTCCCGTCTACTCCTTCAGAAGGGTGATTTTGTGTCCTCTTTCATGGAATCTGTCCCTAGTGGACTGGCCAAGGCCCATGGGAGGGACTCGGGGGAAGGATTGACTGCTCTCTCCTGATGCCCCTGTCAGTGGCTCTTGGTGTGGCTGCCATCAATCAAGCCATCAAGGAGGGCAAGGCAGCCCAGACTGAGCGGGTGTTGAGGAACCCCGCAGTGGCCCTTCGAGGGGTAGTTCCCGACTGTGCCAACGGCTACCAGCGAGCCCTGGAAAGTGCCATGGCAAAGAAACAGCGTCCAGGTAATGGCCCCAACCTGACCCTCCTCTTCGCTGCCTGCCCCAGCCACCCCTTGCCTGCTCTGAACCTTTTCTGCTTGCTTGGTTTCTGCTTAGCAGACACAGCTTTCTGGGTTCAACATGACATGAAGGATGGCACTGCCTACTACTTCCATCTGCAGACCTTCCAGGGGATCTGGGAGCAACCTCCTGGCTGCCCCCTCAACACCTCTCACCTGACCCGGGAGGAGATCCAGGTTGGCAGAGCCCCTGCAAGGGTAGGGGATCTTGGATAGGAATGTCCTGAAGAAGAGGCTCCCACTCCCCAAAAGACCACAGCGTCTCTCTCCTGCCTCCACAGTCAGCTGTCACCAAGGTCACTGCTGCCTATGACCGCCAACAGCTCTGGAAAGCCAACGTCGGCTTTGTTATCCAGCTCCAGGCCCGCCTCCGTGGCTTCCTAGTTCGGCAGAAGTTTGCTGAGCATTCCCACTTTCTGAGGACCTGGCTCCCAGCAGTCATCAAGATCCAGGTGGCAGGCTCTGGCTTTCTCAGTCTTCAGGGCCTGGGCTTATCTGGGCTCCAGGGTATCCACGCTGCTTCCTTTTTACTGACATGGGAATGACCTTTCGGCCTCTGAATAGTAGTGGTTAAAAGCATAGGTTCTGGAGCCAGACCATGTATGTTTGAATCCCAGCTCTACCACCTCTTAGCTGTGTGACCCTGGCAAGTTACTTACCCTCTCTCCCTCAGTTTCCTCACTGGTCCCTCAGTCTTTTCATCTGAAAATGGGGATAACGATAGCACCTACCTTATAGAGTTGTTATGAGGATTAAGTTAGGTAATATCTCAAGTGTTTATAAATTGTGCCTGGGAGGTAGGTAAGAACATGTTAGAAGTTACCATGCTATTTATATCATTATCGTCACTATCCAGAGAGTGAGAGCTGCTTCTTAGCTTCCCCAAGGGAAGAGTGAAATAAGATTTAGCTGGGCGCAGTGGCTCATGCCTGTGATTCCAGCCACTCAGAAGGCTGAGGTGGGAGGATTGCATGACAGGGTCTCACTCTGTCACCCAGGCTAGAGGGCAGTGTACTGGCTGAAATGAGCTATAATGACACCACTGCACTCCAGCATGGGCAACAGAGCGAGACCCTGTCTCTAAAAATGTGTGTGTGTCTGTGTGTGTGTGTGTGTGTGTGTGTGTGTGTGTGTGTCTGTGTGTCTGTGTCTGTGTGTCTGTGTGTTTAGTAAGACATCAAGGCTAGGACACTAGGAGGGCTCGAAGAAGTGGTGGTGGTTAAACAGAAAAGGGGTGGAATATCCTTTAGGAAGAGAATAGCCTTCTACCTTTCCTCTCCTACCAGCCCTTCCCATTTTTATTCTTCCAACCCGTGGATGGTCCAGTGTGGCCTCTGAGACTGACCCATAAGTAATTGAGACATGAGGCTGGTAGGGAAGATAGCCAGAGACACTGTGCAAGCAAGCCAGGAATGATGGCAATTGAGCAGATACCTTCCCAGGCAGATGTGATCTGGAGGGCCTCGTGGAGGTGCTGGCAATGTAAGATGCTTTCACAAACTTCTTTGAATGCCAAGAGCATGCCACTTGGCACTAAGCAAGGGTGGGAGATGGGTGCAAGGCCCACGGGTGAGTAATCACTTCTCTCCCCTCACAGAAATTGGAGTACACTTGATGTCAGACATTGTGATAGGAGGGACATGAAGACAACACCAGAGGACACCAAGGGAGACAGATGTGCAGATCAGGACTGGCAAATGGCCCTTGATTATGACTGAGGGTGTTGGGGGGTAATTGAGAGCTCAGGCTTTGGGGTCAGAAGGTAGAGTTTGCCTCCTGGTCCTACCACTTCTGGGTCATATGACATTGGGCACCTTACTTATGCCCTCTCTAGCACTCGGTTTCCTCATTCATAATGATGGTACTCACCTCATATGTTGATTAGGAGGATTCAGTAGGAAAATTACATGTAGCACTTAGCATGGTAAGTGCTCCGTTGATGGGAGCCATTATGAGATTTTGTTTTCAGGGCATTGGTCCCAGAACTCAATACAGAACTTTAGTGATCTGTATTTAGTGGTCTGAATCATAGGGATTTCTCCCTCCTGAGCCCAGTCTGGAATTTCACACTAAGGCGATGAAAAACCACACCAACAGTGGGAGAGAAGATGGAGTCAGAGGGAACATTTGTCACTAGTACCAAAGCTGTGTGGGCTCTGGCCTGGGTCCTGGGAGACAGAGAAAGAGAGGGGTAGCCCAGAGCCTTGAGCCTCTTGCCCGGGGAAAGGAAAATCCAAAATGAGGCTTCCTGGGTGTGCTGAGACTTTATCTCCTGAAAGCTCTGACCCTGGCCAGAACCCCATCCAGGATCCTGAATTCTGACCAATTCAGAGGCCTTAAGGAGCCTGGTGGAGGTTGGGTAGTGAGTAAGAGCAGAGAGCAGACCACTCTGCCTTTTCCCACAGCAACTTTCCAGTCAGTACCTGGAGGAGGAAAGGAAAGAGTCCTGAGGGCAGGCTTGGAAATGGGCCTTCCTGACCTCTAGGCTCCAACATGGACAGCTGGCATCATGGACCAAGCTATCCTCTTTTACATCCTATCCCAACAGAGGGGCCGTGTAAGCCTTGAGGGAAAGCTGGCAGAACTGGCTTTAGGAAGGGCTAAGGGCAACTGAATGAAAGGAGTTGCTCCCAAGTCTTACCAAACTGAGACAATGTCAGTGGTAGAGTATCTCCCAGGGCCTGTGCACTGGGAGATGCTGGACATGGGGCCTAAAAGACAGGAAGGGCCAAGCATGGTGGCTCACGCCTGTAACCTCAGAACTTTGGGAGGCCGAGGTGGGAGGATTGCTTGAGCCGAGGAGTTCAAGACTGGCCTGAGCAATATAGTAAGACCCCATCTCTACAAAACATAAAAAAGTAATCAGGCATGGTGACACACACCTGTGATTCCAGCTACTTAGGAGGCTGAGGCAGGAGGATCACTTGAGCCCAGGAGGTTGACGCTGCAGTGAGCCATGACAGCACCACTGCACTCCAACCTGGGTGACAGAGAAAGACCCTGTCTCAAAAAAAAAAAAAAGACAGGAAGTATTTCAGTGGGAACAAAGGTGAGTATAAAAGGTTCAGGGACAGAAAACCATAAGGCATGTTTACAAGAAAGTGAAAAGTCTGATGCATCTAGGATCCTTAAGAAGGTGGGGACCAGTGGCAAGTCAAATAGGGAGTGTTGGGTCAGATGGTTGAGAACTTCTGGAAACAGGCTGGGATAGTCTATAGTCTAAGAGGTACTTTAGGAAAATTAATCCCACACAAGCTTGGAGGGAAAGGGAAAAGTCTCCTAGGAAGGAGACTGGATTGGAAGAGGGCCTTGAGATTTTAGAGACCAAAGGAGGCATGATTTGTGCAGACGTCGGTTGGGCCCTTTGCAGCAGATCAGCTAGGGGAGAGGCCATCAGCCTGACAGCTGAGTTACTGGGGACCTTGGTGGGAAGATTTGCTGAGAACTAGGGTCAGGAGCTGGATTGTGTTTTAAAGAGAATGTGAGTTATGAGAGCATTAGTGACCTGCTGCCCAGGTGGCCGCGGGCAGAGATGGTGAGCACACGGCTCTGTGCCTGTACACACTTCTCATCCACACAACTGCATGCATTTCCAGACTGCTCTCTGCCCACTTTCTGTGCACATGAGGGAGGGTGGAGTGTGTGATAGTGTGTGGGTGGTCTGCATATGGGTGTATGAGTATATTTTAGGCTGATATGGTACATACTTTGGTGAAGTTGATGAGTAGGTGTATGCTTTATTATCTTTTAGGACTGTATCTTATAGTTGAGTTTCTGTGAAGAGGTGTTGGTTAGAGGTGTGTGGGTGTGGGTATGTGGGTGTTTGTTCTGGGACCAGGGAGTATGGCAGAGGGCATTGTTGGCTATGTGAAGCCATTTGGTCTTCCCCATGAAGTTGGAAGTTCTTTGAGAACAGGGCCACTTTCCCCTTCCCCCTCTATTTAACTGCCCCCTTCCATTCCCTGGAGGGCCCAGGACAAAGATTTTCTTAAAAGCCTTTCTGGCCAAAGGAGACCTGCTTGAGTTACTTCCCTTTCTCTCCTGATGTGCAGGCTCATTGGCGGGGTTATAGGCAGCGGAAGATTTACCTGGAGTGGTTGCAGTATTTTAAAGCAAACCTGGATGCCATAATCAAGGTAGCTACGGTGGTTTTGGCAGGCTCCTTTCTCTCAAAGGACCGTCTGAGAACAATCTTGTAGTCTTGTCACCTTCTTGTGACCTCTAGATTTAGCTGAATTGGCCTGAGACTGAGTGAGGGTGGGCCCCAAGCTGGAGCTGAGGCAGTGTGTTTCTTCTCCCAGATCCAGGCCTGGGCCCGGATGTGGGCAGCTCGGAGGCAATACCTGAGGCGTCTGCACTACTTCCAGAAGAATGTGAGTGTCACCTTGTTCCCCCTGCCCACATACCCAACCTTTGCCCATGAGACTAGAGCAAGGACAGCCAGCAACCCTTTTCCAATCTGTGTTTGTGGCAGGTTAACTCCATTGTGAAGATCCAGGCATTTTTCCGAGCCAGGAAAGCCCAAGATGACTACAGGATATTAGGTGAGCTGCCTGATCCACCCTCCCCAGCTGTTGGGAGGGAGAGGACCCCACAGAGCCAGGCAGGTCTAGACATCCTTCTGCGACTGCACAGCAGGTAAGGGGAAGGTAGTCACAAGTTGTCTGTGCAGGAGCATGGAACAGGAGTTGTAACAAAAGCCCCCCTGCTCATCCCAATCACAGATAGCCTTGTCACGTGAAAGTTCTTCTAACCAGGCTCTTTTTGGAACAGGCTTAGATTATCTGCCTATTGCTACCACCAAAGCAGAAAGAAAAGGATCTTGCTTCTTTTCTTAGGGTTCAACCTTCTCCTCTCCAGTCCTCTGTGGCCCAGCACAAACAAGGCCTGGTGAGGCACACAGAGTACATCTATTCCGTGGTGTGGAGAATGTGAGAAGCACCCAAGGGAGTGCCATCTTCCTGCTCCATATTCCCCATTAGTTGGGTGCTCATTTAAAGCTTTAAAGAGATCCTTTCTGGCTCTTGTTCTTCAAGTTCAGAAGCCCAGCAAATGGCATCCCCTTCCTTTTTGTGAAATTGACAAGTAGTCCATTTCTACATTCACCTCTAGCCCCTGGGTTCCTGAAGCAGTAGGCCCCTTTCCTTCCTGGCCTTGAGGCTGCACTCTTGGGCTTCTGGTGAGATGTCCTGTTCAGGAATCCTCTCCTTCACCTCCTCAGTCCTTCTTCGCCCCTGTCCTGCCCACAGGGGCTTTGCCTGTCCCTTCTCTGGCCATGCACACTCAGGCCATCTGCTTCCTGTCAACAAGCTTCTTTCTCTCCTTCCCTATCCCCAGCCTAGCCCATTCTATTTTGTCTCTGTGGTTACACTAACACCATTGTCCTGGCCATTCTTTATCTTCTTTTTCTTCTCTTCAGTTTATGGTTTTTCTGGAAGAACTTGCTTTTCCCTAGTGCTGTCTCCTGACTTCACTGGCCCCCAGACTTTACTCAGAGCTCTACCATTTACTAGCTGTGTGGCCCTTGGCAAGTTACTTAACTTCCTTTTTTTTTTTAATTGATTATTTATTTATTTGTTTATTTAGGACAGAGTCTCGCTCTGTCACCCTGGCTGGAGTGCAGTGGCATGATCACGGCTCACTGCAGCCTCAACCTTCCAGGCTCAAGCGATCCTCCCATCTCAGCCTCCTGAGTAGCTGGGACTGGAGGCGTACACCACCACAACTGGCTAACTTTTTGATTTTTTGTAGAGATGGGGGTCTCCCCATTTTGCCCAGACTGGTCTCAAACTCCTGGGCTCAAGTGATCCACTCACCTTGGCTGCCCAAAGTTCTGGGATTACAGTCATGAACCACCACACCCAGCCAATTAACTTCCTTCTTGCCCACTTTTCTCCTTTATAAACTGGACATAATGCTAATACCTATCTTGTAGGGTTGTTTTGAGGAGTTAATATGCTGTATTTCATCGAATCCAAGATGCCATGAATTGTCTTGGCCTCTACCCTTCTTCACTCCTCAAAGATTTGTCCCCAGGCCGGGCCTGGTGGCTCACACCTGTAATCCCAGCACTTTGGGAGGCTGAGGCAGGAGAATCACCTGAGGTCAGGAGTTTAAGACCAGCGTGGCCAACATGGTGAAACCCTGTCTCTACTAAAGATACAAAAATTAGCCAGACATGGTGACAGGTACCTGTAATCCCAGCTACTTGGGAGGCTGAGGCAGGACAATCTCTTGAGCCCAGGAAGCAGAGGTTGCAAGTCGCTGAGATCATGCCACTGAATTCCAACCTGGACAACAGAGCGAGACTCTGTCTAAAAATAAAAATAAAAAAAGATTTGTTCCCCTACTGTAGCCAGATTAATCCATTAAACCTGTACATGTGATCATGTCACTCACCTCCTTAAGACTTATCATGATGCCCTGTTGCCTTGAGGATAAAGTCCAACCTCCTAATCACAGCTTTGGGGCTTTTTGTGATCCAGCCTTTCCCTACACCTCTAACTTCACTGACCTGCCCCTCACCACCTACACCTTCTGCACTGTGTTCCAGATACAGTGGACTTCCAGCACTCCCCACATTCACCCTCTCTGCCTCCTTTTCACCGACATCTGGGGTGTCTCACCTCCTCCTTGCAGTGTCTCTTCACTCCCCAGGTGGGGTTGGGCAACCCACTTTTGTTTTCCCAAAGATCCCCATGCTTGCTCCTCTCAAAGTGCTAACTACACTGCAGTGAATTGTGGTTTATTTGTCTAGTTCCCCTACTAGACTGCCTTTAGGGACAGGGACTAGTTTTATTCATCTTCCAAATCTGACTCCTTCATTTATTACTAACTGTGTAACATAGGGCAAGTTGCTTACCTTCTCTGAGTCTCAGAGTTATTATCGGTAAGAGAGGATAGTTATAGTGTACTGACCTCACAGGTGGTCTTAAGTACGTAAAGTACTTAGAACAGGTTCTGTCTCATAGTAAACATTCTATGTATTAGTTGTTTTGTTGTTATTTCCAATAAATTAGCTCAGAGGCTTCTTTCTTTTTTGCTCAAATGCCAATTCCAAAGGTGATTCAAGGAGAATCACCAGCTAGCTCTGACCTCCCCTAAATTATAAAGCCCACTGTCCATCCCGTCTACCTGTCCTTCCCGGTGTGTACAGACATTCCTGACAGAGGAGCACTGTGGGAGCAAGCAGGGCTGAGTGGTGGCTGGCAGGTAGGAGGAGGAGGAGGAGCAGGTTGGCCCAGCAGAAGTGAGTGGTAGATTGGGGTAGACTAGGGAGGTCTGGGAGGATAATCAGAGGGAGCTGTGGCTCTGGCTTTGGTGTCAGAGGTCCCTGGGATAGACCCAGGCTGGGGTGAATCAGAGGCATGGGAAGAGCAGCTATTATGTCATCTCCAGTTATAAGACAGGAAGCTCAGGGACAGGCCTGGCTAGAAGGCTACCCACTGCCCTCCAAGTGCAAGCAGAACCAGTTAGAAGAGGACTGGGGTTGGGGACCTGCTGATCCCAAGCAGAACGGGGACTGGGGTGGGCTGACTCGGGCAGGGGCTGGTGAGGAGGCCTCTGATGAGGCATGGCTAATCCTGATGCCTCCTCCCTTCCTCCCAGTGCATGCACCCCACCCTCCTCTCAGTGTGGTACGCAGATTTGCCCATCTCTTGAATCAAAGCCAGCAAGACTTCTTGGCTGAGGCAGAGCTGCTGAAGCTCCAGGAAGAGGTAGTTAGGAAGATCCGATCCAATCAGCAGCTGGAGCAGGACCTCAACATCATGGACATCAAGATTGGCCTGCTGGTGAAGAACCGGATCACTCTGCAGGTATGGGGCCCACCAGTCCTCCCCTCCCCGAGATCTGCCTGCCTCTGGAGATGTGATGCTGACCATTCTCTGCTTGCTAATCAATTTTTTTCAAAATGTTGTGGATTTTGTCACCTGACTCAGGTCCTTGTTCCAGTGGCCCTCTGCCATTCTAATAAATCATTTTGGGGGACCCATGACAGAGTAGAAAGAGCATGAAACCTAGAATCAGAATGCCTGGCTCTGCTGATTCCCAGGGATGGGGCTGTGGGTGCTCATTTCACTTCTAAGTCTGTTTTCTCATTAGCAAACTGAGAATAATGAGAATGTCCACCTCTCCAGGCCAAATATAGAGACAGATATGAAAGCTGTTTAAATCATAAATTACCATATAAATATGCAGTGACAGGGTAATAGTGATATAGTGATAGCTCCACCTCAAATGTGTGTAGCAGTCTAATAAGAAGAGATAGCAAAAGCCAAATAGACACAATTCCTCAGCCTGGCAAACCAGTTCTCTTTGGGGACTCACTCCCATGACAGGAGAGGAAACAGATGGAGTCTCAGGGCACTTGGAGGGGCCCTTCCTCACCCTAGAACTGCTTCTGTCCCCCAGCTTATGCCTGTTCCTTGAACAGCAGAAAGCCCTGGCTCTTCAAGGCACTGATTCTAGACCGTATGTTCTGTGCCCTGGGATGGCCTAGGCTAGTTGTATCACCCGCTCCTCCACCCCTGCAGGAAGTGGTCTCCCACTGCAAGAAGCTGACCAAGAGGAATAAGGAACAGCTGTCAGATATGATGGTTCTGGACAAGCAGAAGGGTTTAAAGTCGCTGAGCAAAGAGAAACGGCAGAAACTAGAAGCATACCAACACCTCTTCTACCTGCTCCAGGTTAGCAGAGGACTTTCCAAGGAGAAGTCTCTCCCGTCTCCTGAGGGTCTGAGACTTCAAGGCCTTCTTGTCTGTGCGTTTGGCACCATGCAAGGTGTCCTTTCCCATAATCTTAATTCCTTATCCCCAGGAAAGGAGACTACCTCTTCCCCTGTTTGTCTGGAATGTTACTAGCACCTGGAGAAAGTGTGGTAGTGCTTTCTCCATTCCAGATTTCCATCAGGGGAAAGCCTTTCCTTATCCTATCACTGGTCCTTGAAGTGCATGGTCAGCCATTCCTGTCTCCCCTCTTGCTTGCAGACTCAGCCCATCTACCTGGCCAAGCTGATCTTTCAGATGCCACAGAACAAAACCACCAAGTTCATGGAGGCAGTGATTTTCAGCCTGTACAACTATGCCTCCAGCCGCCGAGAGGCCTATCTCCTGCTCCAGCTGTTCAAGACAGCACTCCAGGAGGAAATCAAGTAGGCTCTCCAGACACAAAGGAATGGGGAGAGAATGGGTTAAGAGATCCCCCTGTTGGCTCCTTCACAAGGTGACAACTTGTTGAGGCCTAAGGGTAGAAATGGAATCAGAAGACCTCTTTTCTCTACCTCCTGTGGAGAAACCGTAAAACATCTGGGACAGCACAGTGGGAGGATATGGGCTGACATGCTAACACAAAGGATGAGAGAGATATCAAGACATTCCTTAAGAGCGGGGACACCAGGGCAGGCTTTGAGAGCCAAAATCTCAAAAAGGAAAAGCAACGGTATGTCCTACACAGAGGCAGAAGACTGGTTTCAATGACCTCTTAAACCACAGGTCAAAGGTGGAGCAGCCCCAGGACGTGGTGACAGGCAACCCAACAGTGGTGAGGCTGGTGGTGAGATTCTACCGTAATGGGCGGGGACAGAGTGCCCTGCAGGAGATTCTGGGCAAGGTTATCCAGGATGTGCTAGAAGACAAAGTGCTCAGCGTCCACACAGACCCTGTCCACCTCTATAAGAACTGGATCAACCAGACTGAGGCCCAGACAGGGCAGCGCAGGTGAGCACATGGGCAGAGGGAGGAGCTCTCTTTGATCAGCTGTGTCTTGATCAGCTGTGTCTTGGACCCTACTGGGGAAGCTTGGGTGTACTTTGAAGGTGGCATATAAATGGGCATGCTGATCTATGCAAATATGACACCAGCTTTGTAGGCATGAATAAGGTAGTCTTTTAGACCCCCTCTGATAATTAACATGAAACTGATGTAAATGACTTCAGACCTGGTGGGCTTAACATAAAATGAGTACAGATGAATATGCAAATGTGCTTAATTGCTATGTCAGTGCTTGCAAATGATGTGTCAAATTTGGTGGTAGTAGGGCCGGACATAGTGGCTCACGCCTGTAATCCCAGCACTTTGGGGGGCTCAAGGTGGGCAGATCACCTGAGGTCAGGAGTTTGAGACCAGCCTGGCCAACATGGTGAAACTCTATCTCTACTAAAAATGTAGGTCAGGCGTGGTGGCTCACGCCTGTAATCCCAGCACTTTGGGAGACCGAGGCAGGCGGATCACGAGGTCAGGAGATCGAGACTATCCTGGCTAACATGGTGAAACCCCATCTCTACTAAAAATACAAAAAATTAGCCGGGCGTGGTGGCAGGCACCTGTAGTCCTAGCTACTCGGGAGGCTGAAGCAGGAGAATGTCATGAATCTGGGAGGCAGAGCTTGCAGTGAGCCGAGATCGTGCCACTGCACTCCAGGCTGGGCGACAGAGCGAGACTCTGTCTCAAAAATAAAAAATACAAAAATTCGCCGGGTGTTGTGGCGCACTCCTGCAGTCCCAGCTACTCGGGAGGCTGAGGCAAGAGAATCACTTGAACCTGGGAGGTTGCGGTGAGCCGAGATTGCACCACTGCACTCCAGCTCTAGGCAACAGAGTGAGACTCTGTCCCCCCGCAAAAAAAAAAAAAAAAATTTGCTGGGAGTTAGGATATGGACTCCTATTGATAGGGGTATAGAAGAATATTTCTATTTACAGATGAATAGGCAAATGAGATAGTGGGAGAGATAGGTTGCCCTTATAGCCTGGGGTCATTACTCAGGTCCCTAGGTGCTAGGGAAACCTAGCCACAGAGGCGAGCAGGCAATCCTGGTGGCTGCTCTGGATGGCACAGGAGGCTTTAGGTGAGGGAACTATAAGGCTCTGGCCCAGCCTCTCCATTATTCCAAACTCCCAAAGACTATTTGCAGCGCAGCCGCCTGCTTGTCATCTGTTCCCCTTAGAAGGGTCCCTAGATTCCACGTTCTCTGTTCCTTCCTACATTCTTCCAGCTTCCCTGTAGATACTCCAACTCTTCTTTACCTCCCGACTGCATTTCTCCAGTCCTTTCTCTCATTCTGGCCCTTTCTCCTTTAGCATGCTGAGCTGTCCTTAGCACATCTGTATGAGATCTTGTTGTTAGACAAGCGTTTAAGGAATAGGGCCTTGGGGAAGGAGGCCATTGGAGGGGGCTCCTGCTTACACCTTGTCTCTCTCTGCTCATAGCCATCTCCCATATGATGTCACCCCGGAGCAGGCCTTGAGCCACCCCGAGGTCCAGAGACGACTGGACATCGCCCTACGCAACCTCCTCGCCATGACTGATAAGTTCCTTTTAGCCATCACCTCATCTGTGGACCAAATTCCGTATGTGCAACAGCCCCACCCCAGCCTACGCATGGGATTTCAAGAGGGCCAGGCCACCATGGGGAGCAGAGCAGGGTGATAGTCCTGCAGGGAGGAAGGCAGGGAGGGAGATGGAGCCAGGGGTACTCAGAGGGGTTCCTGAAGAGATGTGGGGAATGCTCGAAGCTCCTGCTAGAGAGCTGAGCTGAGAGACGGCGTGCAAGTCTGTGTGTGGCCTGGTAGGATGTCAGTGGAACCAGAGGAGGGACCCTAAAATGATCTCAGGGACACTTTATTAGCTAAGAGCAAATGAGGAGAAAATGGGACTCTTCAGTTCCCAATATCAAAAATAAATATTTTAAGCCCATAAAGTACTTTATAGTTCTCTCTTTTCTTAAAATTTAGTCAATACGTTTGGTTTTCTACATTTATTTTTGACACATGATAATTGTACATATTCATAGGGTATAGTGTGATGTTTTGATACGTGTATACATTGTGCAATGAATGATCAAATCAGGGTAATTAGCATATCTATTACCTCAAACATTTATTTCTTTTTGGTGAGAACATTCAAAATCCTTCTAGCTATTTTGAGATATACAACACATTATTATCAACTATAGTCACCTTCTGTGCAATAGAGCACCAGAACTTATTCTTTCTACCTGGATGTAACTTTGTACCCATTGACCAACCTCTCCCCATCCTCTCTCCCCTTCTCCTACCCTCCCCAGACTCCGGTAACCACCATTCTACTCTCTACTCCTGTGAAATCACCTTTTTAAGATTCCACATATGAGTGAGATTATGCAGTATTTGTCCTTCTGTGTTTGGCTTATGTATGTCACTTAACACGAACCTCTACGTTCATCTATGTTGTCGAAAATGACAGGCTTTCATTCTTTTTTTGTTTGTTTTTCTTTATTTTTTATTATTATTATTTTTAAGACAGGGTCTCACTCCATTGCCCAGGCTGGAATGCCCAGGGCAAGATGAGGATGTTGAAAGGGGGAACCCACAGAGTTTATAACCCTGCTCCCCAAACCTGGAGAACCGGATTAAGAGTTTACAATTAGGAGTAAGAAAAGATTGTTCTAGGCTTAAGAAAGTAAAGTACACAATGAGCTGTAAACTTCTGTCTCTGGTACCCTAGGAGTGGAAATTGCTTTTAAATGAATTTAATTACATTTGTAGGTGGCACATCCATAATAGGAATAATAATGATAATACAGTCTAGCACATTTGAATAGTACTCTACCATTATACGTTACTCTCGCAGACATAATTTCACTTGATCCTCAAAAAGCCCTGTGAGAAGAGAAGGCAAGAATGATCATTCCCATTTTCTAGACCAGGGGACAGACTTACAAAGGAGAAGGAAATAGTCTAAGATAATATCTCTGGTTGGTGGTGGAGTCCAAACTGGAGCTTCTCCTCCCGGCTCACTGATCTCCTTGGGGCCCTACCTCTAGCCCAGACTAGGCCACTCACAGATGCTCTGTGACAGCTGACAAGGTTGACTACCTCGGAGCCACCTAGGCTGTCCTAGGACAGGGTTTTGGCTGTGAGTGTCAGATACCCAAGCTTTAGGTTAATGGTGCCTCTGGGGGATGGGGGATGGCTATGGTGAGCTGGGGTGCTCTGCAGGGGACCCAGAGAGTCTCAAAGAAGAGGTTCTCGAGCCAGGTTGGAGGCTGTGTGAGAGATTTAGTAGATGATAGGGCCCTGGTCCTGACTACTGACATAAGGCAGGAGGAAGGGACAAGGCCCAGAGACGTTTGGAGGAAGGCAGCAGGGAGCTGGCTATGGCTAGTGGAGGGACAGTGCTTGAGCTCTACTCTGGAGTGGCTGAGCCTGGGGGAGAAGAGACAGCCAGGCACTCAAGCTCTTATCTCTGGCAGAGAGAGATGGGCAGAGGCACAGCCACGCGCACCTGTTTCTTTGTCCCCAGGTATGGGATGCGATATGTGGCCAAAGTCCTGAAGGCAACTCTGGCAGAGAAATTCCCTGACGCCACAGACAGCGAGGTCTATAAGGCAAGTGTTGTCTCCCCACCCCCACCTCCCAATCCCTCCTTTGCTTTGCTGGTACCTGCAATCCCCAGACTGAGACAAAAACACAAAAAATCCTATGCCATAAAAATCCAAGGAGGGAAATATGCTGCCCCCTATAAATGGAGCCTGGCTCACCCGCAGGGCTTCAGGTGGCAGATGGCTCATGCTGGGGTGTGAGCGAACAGAGTGGGCAACACTGGCTTCTTGTCAGGAGATCTGGGTTCAAGTCCCAGCTCTTGCTCAGGTTTGCTGTGTGGCCTTAAGCAAGTTGTCTGCCTGCTCTGGGCCTGTTTTCTTTGAAGTGAGGGGGTTGGCCCAGGTGTCCCTTCCAGCCAAGCAAGCTGAGAATGTGGGGCCGCACCAGTCAAGGCGGCCCCTGGACACTTCTGGGAGAGTCTCCTTTGCCCTCAGGTGGTCGGGAACCTCCTGTACTACCGCTTCCTGAACCCAGCTGTGGTGGCTCCTGACGCCTTCGACATTGTGGCCATGGCAGCTGGTGGAGCCCTGGCTGCCCCCCAGCGCCATGCCCTGGGGGCTGTGGCTCAGCTCCTACAGCACGCTGCGGCTGGCAAGGCCTTCTCTGGGCAGAGCCAGCACCTACGGGTCCTGAATGACTATCTGGAGGAAACACACCTCAAGTTCAGGTCTTGGGTCCCTTTCCTCTCTGTCCCCTTTCTTCCCTCTTCTCACCTTTGACATCCCACTTGTCCCCTCCAGAATCCATGAGGACAAGAGGCATAAATAGAAGGGATGAGCATAATGAGCGGGGTGGAGGATAGGTTGTTGGAAGGACTCCCCAGTGGAGAGAAAAGGAGACTATTAAGAGAGATTGTCTTGAGGGGTCACTGGGACAGAGGTAGGGCAGGACAGAGGGCAGAAGCTGAGACTGGAGAGTCCAAATTGGCCTGAGCAATCACTGGAGAAGGCTGGGGAAATGATGGGGACAGAAGATGTGTGGGGTGCTGGCCCTCCCCGCTCTCTCACATGCCCGCCCTCTGGACAGGAAGTTCATCCATAGAGCCTGCCAGGTGCCAGAGCCAGAGGAGCGTTTTGCAGTGGACGAGTACTCAGACATGGTGGCTGTGGCCAAACCCATGGTGTACATCACCGTGGGGGAGCTGGTCAACACGCACAGGGTGAGGGGCTGAGATCTGGAGGGTGTTGGCTGGGTGGGCAAGGGTTTGGTAGCCTGTGATGGGGTAGTGGGCTGGCCCCAGAGGGAAGACCTGGCTCAGACCCTGCATCTCCTTTTCTTTCTCCGTCCTGCAGCTGTTGCTGGAGCACCAGGACTGCATTGCCCCTGATCACCAAGACCCCCTGCATGAGCTCCTGGAGGATCTTGGGGAGCTGCCCACCATCCCTGACCTTATTGGTACGTGCCCTCCTTAGCAGCTGAGGCCAGCTAGGGGACCTGCATGGAGGGAGGGACAGGCAGGCAGGCAGGGCATGTGAGCGTGCCCATGCAGCCTAGGTCTTGTGCCAGGCGGCTAGTTCCATACTCTCCCTCTGGTCCTGACATGGGCACAGGGACACAGATTGATGTGGAGAAGGTAGACAGACAGTAGAGGGACCCACGATCATCATGGAAAACGGTCAATGAAATGATCTGAAAGAGGCACAGGGATCAGGGCCTCATTAGGTTTCTCTGAGAAGGAGGGGTTTCCGGGCCATGGAATAGGAGGAAGCCAACTTACTGGGAGGAAGGACAGAATGAAGATGGTGATTGGAGAGAACCAGGAGCTGCAGGCTCAGGGAGGCACAGCTCCTCTACCCTCAGGGCACCCAGGGCTGAGGGTGTGGGGGTGGCACAGCCCCAGTAACACAAGGGTATGCTCTGTGGGTAACAGCCCTTCCATCGGTGCTAAGGGTTGGGGACACAGGGTAGTTCTGCAGGCCAGTGTGGGAAAACTTCCTGGAAGAGGGGCATGTGGAGCAGCTGATTTAATGTGACCCCATCGGTGCATGTGTGTGTGTGTATGTGTGTGTGCGCATGTGTGTGTGTATGCCTGTCTCCCTCTCATTCCTCACCACACCTCAGGTGAGAGCATCGCTGCAGATGGGCACACGGACCTGAGCAAGCTAGAAGTGTCCCTGACGCTGACCAACAAGTTTGAAGGACTAGAGGCAGATGCTGATGACTCCAACACCCGTAGCCTGCTTCTGAGGTGGGTGATGCCAGCCTCTGCCCCTGCATACCTGAGCTCCCCAGCCCTGAGGCCAGTAAAATGGCCTTATTCTGAGGCGCCCATTCCACCTTCTTCCTGGGCTCCCTTATCCTTCAGGAAGTTCTCCCTGAAGCCTACCTTTATTCCCCTCGCTGCAGCCTTGGCTCTTTTCCATCTGGTATCCTCAGCTTTTTGCTCTGTGTTGTACTGAAAGTAAAGGAATGGTGAAGATATTGGCAACAGCAGGTGTTTGCATATCGTGCTGTTTACCAAATGCTTTTTTCTTTTTTTTCAAGTAGAGACAGAGTCTCGCCATGTTGCCCAAGCTGGCCTCAAACTCCTGGCCTCAAAGCCATCCACCTGGCTCAGCCTCCCAAAGTGCTAGGATTACAGGATTGACCCACTGCGCCTGGCCCAAATGCTTTTTTAATAAGTTATCGTTTATTCTTAGAAACAAGCTATGAGGTAGATGGTGGCTTCCCCTCTTCATAGTTGAGGAAAGACTCAGTAGTTATGTGATTTATCCAAAGTTCCACAGCCAGTGGGTTGTAGAGCTCATGTTCTAATTCCACTTTTTTTTTTTTTTTTTTTTTGAGATGGAGTCTCATTCTGTCATCCAGGCTGGAGTGCAGTGACACGAACTCAGTTCACTGCAACCTCCGCCTTCTGGGTTCAAGCGATTCTCCTGCCTCAGCCTCCTGAGTAGCTGGGACTACAGGTGCTCGCCATCATGTCCGGCCAATTTTTGTATTTTTAGTAGAGATGGGGTTTCACCATGTTGGCCAGCCTGATTTTGAACTCCTGACCTCAAGTGATCTGCCTGCCTTGGCCTCCCAAAGTGCTGGGATTACAGGCGTGAGCCACTGCGCCCAGCCTAATTCCGCATTCTTGTTGAGTGTGATGGTCAGGAGATGGGCATGGAGCTCTTCTTCCCCAGTTCTACAAAAGTGAGGGAGGACTCCCAGTAGGGGTGAGCTGGTCATCTGGGCAGAAGAGGAGCCAAAGTGCCAGCTCAAGCTCCTGCCAACAAGGCAACCCCTTGCACCCACTCATTCACTCAATAAACAAGTGAGCTGGCCAGGTGCGGTGGCTCATGTCTGTAATCTCAGCACTTTGGGAGGCCGAGGCAGGTGGATCACCTGAGGTCAGGAGTTCGAGACCAGCCTGGCCAACATGGTGAAACCCCATCTCTACTGAAAATACACAAATTAGCTGGGTGTGGTGGCAGGCACCTGTAATCCCAGCTACTTGAGAGGCTGAGGCAGGAGAATCACTTGAACCTGGGAGGCAGAGGTTGCAGTGAGCCGAGATCATGCCATTGCACTCCAGCCTGGGTGACAGGAGTGAAACTCTATCTCAAAAAAAAAAAAAAAAAACAAGTGAGCTGAGTATCATCTTTGTCCTGCCATCAAAGGGCTGAGAGCAGGATCGGGCTAGGGCTGAACACAGAGCACCACCAAGAGGGTGGTGGGTGTCAGATGCATTGAGAGCTAAGGAGAAGGGATGGCTGGGTGGGAAGGACATGTGTGCTCAGCTGAAGGACTCAAAGGCAGATAGTTTGTTGGGAAGGTATTCCAGGCAACGACATCCCCTATCCCTCGCTCTCTCTCCTTATATCCTAGCAGCCATGCTATAGAGCACGGTCCACTTACTCTCAGACCTCTGGCCAGTCCCATGTCCAGGCCCTTCCCCTGCCCCTTACCTCTCCTCTGTCACTGTCCTCCTTGTGCAGCACCAAGCAGCTGTTGGCCGATATCATACAGTTCCATCCTGGGGACACCCTCAAGGAGATCCTGTCCCTCTCGGCTTCCAGAGAGCAAGTGAGTAGCCGGGCTGGCCCACAGGTTCTGTCTCATTCATCCCCCACCTCATCCCACCTGCACCGCTGCTGTTTCCCTCCTCTGAACCTCACCCACATCAGCCAGAAGCAGACACCTGTGCTCACCAGTAATGAGAACTCTGGAGGCCTACAGGATGAGGGATACAGCTTTAGCCTTGGGAAGCCTCGGGCTACAGAGTCATGGGGCCCCACCCCTCTCCCCACTTCACACACTGAAACAAGCACCAACACTAGGGCTATGGGGGGCACTGAGAGACCGTCTGGGAATGCTCCCCTGGAAGGCCTGCACTCAGAAGAGTGGTCTGCTAGAATGCCTGGAGGCAGGAGAAGGTAGTAGGCAGGTGGGGGGCCAGGGGCAGGTTGGGCCCGCTGGAGTGAAGACTGAACCAGGGTCTTCCCAAAGAAAAGGTGGGGATGGCCAGTAGAGGTATGTCCCAAAACAGAACAGACAGGTAAATGCCCCCAAACATCCTGTGCCGTCAGAAAGATCCATTGTTGGGAAGTCACAGCTAGTGTCTGTCCGGAATCCTTTATGCCATGGCCTGGGTTTGGTTCTCCTTTGGGCCACTCTTCCCCTGTGGTGATCTATGAGGCCCTCCCATGTGTGAC
This sequence comes from Homo sapiens, assembly GCF_000001405.40. Lineage (NCBI taxonomy): Eukaryota > Metazoa > Chordata > Mammalia > Primates > Hominidae > Homo > Homo sapiens. Next base: position 89,087 of record NW_025791758.1, on the reverse strand, counting down.
ACCATGCATTATGGTGTTATACCTTGATATTCTTCATAAGCGATGCCCTGCCCCAGCCATATCCTGCAGAGGCTGGGCTCTGGGGCACTTTCTTAATGATATGCAGAAAAATGCTCAGGCCTCCCTTTGTTGCTGGTGCCCATGGGACCTTCACTGGTGTGGGAGCAGAATGGTAGGACCTGGTAGACCCCTCCAGCGTCTGTGTGTCCCCAGGAAGCAGCCCACAAGCAGCTGATGAGCCGACGCCAGGCCTGTACAGCCCAGACACCGGAGCCACTGCGACGACACCGCTCACTGACAGCTCACTCCCTCCTGCCACTGGCAGAGAAGCAGCGGCGCGTCCTGCGGAACCTACGCCGACTTGAAGCCCTGGGGTTGGTCAGCGCCAGAAATGGCTACCAGGGGCTAGTGGACGAGCTGGCCAAGGTAACAACCTGGGCCTGGGCTCCGTGTGCCTGTGTGTACGTGTGTGTGTGTGCGTGCATATACATGTTAATCCATAGTGTTGGTGGGCCCCTCCTGATGAGTCCTCACCCAAAATTGTCACCAGCCAGAGGAAGGCTGAGGGTCCTTTTTGAAGGAAAGATTTTTTTTTCTTTTTTTTTTTTTTTTTTGAGACAGTCTCACTCTCATCCAGGCTGGAGAGCAGTGGTGTGATCCTGGCTCACTGCAACCTTCACCTCCTGGGTTCAAGTGATTCTCCTGCCTCAGCCTCCCAAGTAGCTGGGATTACAGGTGCGCGCTGCCATGCCCGGCTAATTTTTGTATTTTTAGTAGAGACACGGTTTCAGGCCATGTTGGCCTGGCTGGTTTCGAACTCCTGACCTCAGGGTCCGCCCATCTTGGCCTCCCAAAATGCTGGGATTACAGGTGTGAGCCACTGCACCCAGCCAAATTTTTGTATTTTTAGTAGAGACAGGGTTTCACCATGTTGGCCAGGCTGGTCTCAAACTCCTGACCTCAAGTAATCTGCCCACCTTAGGCTCTCACAAAGTGCTGGGATTACAGGTGTGAATCACCACTCCTAGCCTGAAGGAAAGATCTTGAAATTAGTTAGAGAGGAAGGTGTTCTTGCAACTCTCTTTTTTTTTTTCTTCCCCACATTAGCTGGGTAATGTGCCCAGGTCAGAAGGTTTGAGAGAAGCATATCTCACACAAGAGCATGAAAACCCAATCCTCAGCTTATGACCTACAAAAGTATCCTTGCAACTTTCTTTTACTAAAAAACAAACAGCCTTGAAACCAGTTAGTCCTCAACGGGCAGAGGCCCTGAGGACATGCCTTGAGGATTTGGAATACCATCCTTGAGATTTTCCTTCTAGGAAAACAGCCTTGAAGCCTGTTCTTCCGAAGAGCCTCACAGTGTGTAGCTCTTGGGCCTGTGTCAGGCCCTAAGGCTCTCCTGCCAGGAAGGACCACTCATCCCTCCATCTGTTCCCCAACCCCAGGACATCCGCAACCAGCACAGACACAGGCACAGGCGGAAGGCAGAGCTGGTGAAGCTGCAGGCCACATTACAGGGCCTGAGCACTAAGACCACCTTCTATGAGGAGCAGGGTGACTACTACAGCCAGTACATCCGGGCCTGCCTGGACCACCTGGCCCCCGACTCCAAGTAGGTGCTGCTTTCCCGTACTTGGAAGGTTACGAGTGACTTCTCACCCCTGCCCATGTCACCTTTGCCCTGCTATCTCCCAGCTTTGAAAGGGGAATCTCACCCAGCACAGCACAGTCCCTTCCTAAGTCTGGTCTTTGAGCCTCATTTACAAAGTCTTGGGCTCAAGTGCAGCCCCCCTCCTCTGTCTTCCATCAGTGAGAAGTCTTCCTCGGGGTCTCATTTCCTTTCCAGCCACAGAAAACAAGTTTCTTTGGTGGTAAAGTGTTTATTGGATGAATTCTCTGGGGCCTTCTTTTAATCAGGAGTTCTGGGAAGGGGAAGAAGCAGCCTTCTCTTCATTACACTGCTGCTCAGCTCCTGGAAAAGGGTGTCTTGGTGGAAATTGAAGATCTTCCCGCCTCTCAGTATGTGTCTTTGGAGGGCAGGATGTCAGCCCCTTCCTGTCCTCTAACCTGGGGGTGGAGCTCTGGGCTGGGCACCGGGTGGAAGAGAAGAAGCATGGTCCCGATCTTGAAGGAGCTGCTAGAATGATGGTGGAGACAGAGCATGCCCAGACAGAAAGTGAAGGGCTGTGGACATGGTCTAGCACAGTTCTAGATGCCCTGAGGCAGAGGGTACTGGGAAAGCTTTCCAGAGGTGAGAACAGCTGCGTAGGGCGGGGCAGATAAAGAGATGGTGTGGGGAGCAGAAGTAAAATGGAGAAGACAGCGAGCTGGGCCCTCTGGGAGTGACAGAGGGAAAACTGGTTCTGGATGACACCGCTGCCCAGGATGAGGAGCAGTGGGTGCAAGAATGTGGCTGTAGCCCTGGAAAGAGGCAGTGGGTTCCTGTTTTGAATCCTGTTCCTGACAGCTTCAGAAACGTCATCTTTGACATCACGCCGGGAGATGAGGCAGGAAAGTTTGAAGTAAATGCCAAGTTCCTGGGTGTGGACATGGAGCGATTTCAGCTTCACTATCAGGTGAGGGGACAGTCCCATGAGCCTGCAGGACATCTGCTGGGCTTTAGGTGCTGGCCTGAAGAGAGCAGCTGGCCTCACTTTCCTAGTCCTCAGATGACACCAGCTCAGTTTTTCACCCAATCAGTATCGTCTGTTCCTGAAGAGAAGGGTGGGGGTCTGTGCAGCCCAAGCCCCCCTTTCCCCATGCCCTGACACAGACCCCACTGGCAAGCATCAGGGAGAGTGGAGTGGGCTACTGGTGTCAGAAGCAGGATTAATATTTGAAGCCCTATCACATGTCAGGGACTTTACATGTTACCTCCTTTAATCCTCTCCACAGCTCTGAAGTATTATCCCTATTTTACAGGCTCTAGGCTAAAAGGTTAAGAAGCTGGCTAAGTCATAGGCCAGTGTTCAGGAAAGGAGTGAAGCAACGGTGTTTTTGGTTGTGGTTGTTGTTGTTGCTTTTTTGGGTTTTTGTTTGTTTGTTTTCTTGAGACGGAGCCTTACTCCGTCACCCAGGCTGGAGTGCAATGGCGCAATCTCAGCTCACTGCAACCTCTGCCTCCTGGGTTCAAGCGATTCTCCTGCCTCAGCTTCCTGAGTAGCTGGGATTACAGGCGTGCGCCACCACACCGGCTTTTTGTGTATTTTTAGTAGAGATGGGGTTTCACCATGTTGGTCAGGCTGGTCTTGAACTGCTGACCTTGTGATCCGCCCGCCTCAGCCTCCCAAAATGCTGGGATTTACAGGCATGAGTCACCATGCCCAGCCGAGCAGTAGTTTTTAATCCAAATCTTTTTGCTCTGATGTTTTACCTTTTGAGTAAGAAAAATGATTTTGGCCGGGTGCAGTGGCTCACGCCTGTAATCCCAGCACTTTGGGAGGCCGAGGCGGGCGGATCACGAGGTCAGCAGTTCAAGACCAGCCTGGCCAATATAGTGAAACCCTGTCTCTACTAAAAATACAAAAATTAGCCTGGCGTGGTGGCACCTGCCTGTAATCCCAGCTACTCAGGAGGCTGAAGCAGGAAAATCGCTTGAACCTGGGAGGCGGAGATTGCAGCGATCCGAGATCGCGCCACTGCACTGTAGCCTGGGAGACCGAGTGAGACTCCGTCTCAAAAAAATAAATAAATAAAATAAGAAAAACAATTTCAAGCCCTGGTTCTGCTTGAGTTGACATTTGATCAAGTCACTGTACCTCTCTTGCCTCAGTTTCCTCATTTGTGAAGTGGGATTTCAATGCCCTACTTCAGTGGCCAGTGCCACTGGTGACTGCAGAAGGCCCCATGATGTGAGTGTTTTGTACACCATCTGACTGGACCACATTCAGAAGCCCTTAAACTCCCCTCCCTGCCTCTTCCCTCCTAGGATCTCCTGCAGCTCCAGTATGAGGGTGTGGCTGTCATGAAACTCTTCAACAAGGCCAAAGTCAATGTCAACCTTCTCATCTTCCTCCTCAACAAGAAGTTTTTGCGGAAGTGACAGAGGCAAAGGGTGCTACCCAAGCCCCTCTTACCTCTCTGGATGCTTTCTTTAACACTAACTCACCACTGTGCTTCCCTGCAGACACCTAGAGCTCAGGACTGGGCAAGGCCCAGGGATTCTCACCCCTTCCCCAGCTGGGAGGAGCTTGCCTGCCTGGCCACAGACAGTGTATCTTCTAATTGGCTAAAGTGGGCCTTGCCCAGAGTCCAGCTGTGTGGCTTTTATCATGCATGACAAACCCCTGGCTTTCCTGCCAGATGGTAGGACATGGACCTTGACCTGGGAAAGCCATTACTCTTGTGTCTGCTACTGCCCTCCCACAGTCACCCCAATATTACAAGCACTGCCCCAGCGGCTTGATTTCCCCTCTGCCTTCCTTCTCTCTGCACTCCCACAAAGCCAGGGCCAGGCTCCCCATCCCTACCTCCCACTGCATCAGCAGTGGGTGTTCCTGCCCTTCCTGAGTCTAGGCAGCTCTGCTGCTGTGATCTGCACACCCTCCAACCTGGGCAGGGACTGGGGGGATGCAGTGTGTGTTAGTGCCCATGTGGCATTGTGGCACTGTTGCCCCCCATGGCGGCATGGGCAAGATGACCTTCCATTAGCTTCAAGTCTTGTTCTCTTGTCTGTGGTCTGTTTAATATGTGGGTCACTAGGGTATTTATTCTTTCTCCCATCCTTACACTCTGGATCATTGTGCAGACTTAATCAGGGTTTTAACGCTTTCATTTTTTTTTTTTTTTTTTTTTTTTTGAGCTCAAAGAGAGTTCTCATTTTCCCTATTCAAACTAATACCCATGCCGTGTTTTTTACCTTGGATTTAAAGTCACCTTAGGTTGGGGCAACAGATTCTCACTCATGTTTAAGATCTTGTTATTTCAGCTTCATAAGATCAAAGAGGAGTCTTTCCCTTTTCTCTTTTACCCTCAGGATTCTCATCCCTTACAGCTGACTCTTCCAGGCAATTTCCATAGATCTGCAGTCCTGCCTCTGCCACAGTCTCTCTGTTGTCCCCACATCTACCCAACTTCCTGTACTGTTGCCCTTCTGATGTTAATAAAAGCAGCTGTTACTCCCACATCTGTTGTTAACCCTTATTTCATTTTCTGTAGAGCCGGCCTTTAAGTTCTGGAACACAGCTCCCTGAGAGAACTGGGGAATCCTTCCTGCAGCCTCCCCCAGCCCTCTGCCTGCCTCCGGTGTGGTCCTACTCTGCCTGCCTGAGATCGTAAAAGCTTAATGAGATGTGGCATTTATTCTCTCTTCCTTCCCCCGGGGGACAGAGAGGAGGAAGGAATGCTTAGGTTTCTATTCTGTTTTTATCGGCCACTCTGAAGACTAAAGCTGAGAAGAGAAGCCACTCTAATTTCTACCCCACCCGTTTTACACACAGTTCCTGCAGGTTCTTTTCCTGAGCCTTGGGTGGTGATATCAAAGGTGCTTAAGCCATAACTCCTTAGGTATTGTAGATTCTACACTCTGATCAAAATCTCCTTTCTGAAGGGAAAGCTCCCTCCTTTCCTCCTTGCTTTCAGAAAGTAGGGAGGGAAGTCTGTTGGGGAGGGGACAGTAGAGACAGACACCTGCCCTGACATCTGAACTCCCAGGCAGCTCCTGTTGGGGACACACCTTTGCCTGGTGCAGTCTGCCTCCCTCCACTCCGTTCCATTCTGTCACTCAGGATCTGTCTTGCTGTCACATCCAATCTCAGTCACAGCCTCTCCCCCCCCTTAACATGTCACAGCAAAGACTTCAAGTACTGCCTTGCTCTGGGTGACAGTGACATTTACCAGTAGATCCAAGTTTCTACATGTGATCAGCCATCATTAAAAATCTCATACTCACCAAATGGCTGCAATGCTCCCCCACAATCACATGATCTCAGCCACATATACCACATATAGAAATGTCACAATAGCTACCGTTACTGAGAGTCTGTCGTGGGCTGGGATATTTACATACATTTACTCCTCACAACAACCCTACAAAGGTTGTTGTGGTCTTCATCTTGGTTTAACATGATGAAACTGAGGTTCCGAGTTGGATCTGATAACTACCCAAGGCTATTCAGCTGGAAAGGAGCAGAACAGGGCTTTAAACTCAGGCCCACCAGATATACATTCCCCAGCATTTTTTCTCTTCTCTGAGAAACATTTTTACTTCCTTCAACCTCCCCTTTTGTGACACTCTCAAGCTCCCCCAACACTCCACTCTGCTGTGGGTCCCTGATAAGCTTGAGCTCATTAGTGTCCTTGCTAACCTTCAATGCCCAATCTGAGATACAGTTTCTTAGCTCCTATGAATGGGACTATATGCCAGTGTAACCTCTTTGGAGGACAATTTGGAAATATAAAAAATATAAGTGCTTCTTAGACAAGGTGGCATGAAAAAAATTAAGTGCAGGGTACCAGGATAATTCAACAGAAAGTAGTCTTTTCAACAAATGGTGTCAGGACAACTGGAAATCCACATGTAAAAGGAGGAAGTCGTACCCCTACCCCACACCAGATACAAAAATAAACTCAAAATGAACCACAGACCTAACTGTAGGAGATAAAACTATAAAACTCTTTAAAAAAGGCCAGACATGGTGGCTCACACCTGTAATCCCAGCACTTTGTGTGGCCAAGATGGGAGGATTGCTTGAGTCCAGGGAGTTCAAGACCATCCTGGGCAACATAGTGAGACTCCCATCTCTAAAAAATATATGTATTTTAAGCCAGGCGTGGTGCCTCATGCCTGTAATCCCAGCACTTTCGGAGGCCTAGGTGGGTGGATCACCTGAGGTCGGGAGTTCAAGACCAGCCTGACCAACATGGAGAAACCCCGTCTCTACTAAAAATACAAAAATTAGCTAGGCGTGGTGGTGTGTGCCTGTAATCCCAGCTACTTGGGAGGCTAAGGCAGGAGAATCACTTGAACCCGGAGGTGGAGGTTGCAGTGAGCCAAGATCACACCACTGCAATCCAGCCTGGGTGACAGAGCAAGACTCCATCTCAAAAAATAAAATAAAAATAAAACAAAAAAAAATTAAAAAACCCGCAGAGTGGGAGAAAATATTTGCTAATCATATATGTAATAAGGGATTTATATCCAGACTATATAAAGAACTCATCACAATAGAAAGACAACCTAATTAAGAAATAGGCAAAGGATTTGAATTCACATTTCTCCCAAAAGAACATATACAAATGGCCTTTCTTCTTTTGAAACGAAGTCTCACCCTGTCACCCACACTGGAGTGCAGTGGCGTGATCATGGCTCACTGAAGCCTTGATCTCCCCAGGCTTAGGTGATCTCCCGCCTCAGCCTCCCAAATAGCTAGGACTACAGGCATTCGCCACCATTCCCAGCTAATTTTTGTGTTTTTTGTAGAGACAAAGTATTCGCCATGCTGCCCAGGCTGGTCTTGAACTCCTGGGCTCAAGTGATCTGCTCTCATTGGCCTCCCAAAGTGCTGGGATTACAGGCCAGGGTCACTGGGCCTGGCCATCACTAGCCATTAGAGAAATGCAAATCAAAATCACTATGAGATCCCATTTTACTCCCATTAGGATGGCTAAAATAAAGCAGACACAATGATCAGTGTTGGTGAGGATGTGGAGAAATAACTCTCATACATTGCTGGAAGGGTTAAAATAGTGGAGCCACTTTGATAAACAATTTGGCCACTCCTCAAAATGTTAAACATAGAGTTATCATGTGACCTAACAATTCCTCTCCTAGGTATATATCCAACAAAATTGAAAGCATATGTCCACCCAGATATCTGCACATGGATATCTATAGCAGCACTCTTCATAATAGCCAAAAAATGGAAGCAATCCAAATGTCCATCAACTGATGAGTAGATAAACAAAAGTAGTATCTCCATACAATGGAATATTATTCACCTATCAGAAGGAATGAAATAGTGACACATGCTACAACATGGATGAACTTGAAAATGTGCTGCTAAGTGAAAGAAGCCAGACACAAAATGCCACATACTGTATACTTTTATTTATGTGAAATGTCCAGAATAGTCAGATCCATAGGAACAGAAAGTAGATCAGTGATTGCAAAGGCCCGGGAAAAGGGGAGAACAGAGAGTGACTGCTAATGGGTATGGGCTTTCTTTCAGGGGTGACAAAAATGTTCTGTAATTAGTGGTGATAGCTGCACAATGCTGAGTATAATAAAATATCACACAATTATATACTTTAAAAAGGTGAATTGTATGGTCTGTGAATTATATTTCAATAAAGCTTGTTTTTCTTAGTATAAGTGCACATACCCAGCAAGGACTTTTTCCTGTGGATATACCTGGATATGTGGGCAAAGAGCTCTGGAGGATTTGTTGCAGTATTGTTCGTATTGGCAATAAACTCAGTAGGGTAGTCACACAATGGAACATTAAGCAGCCAATAAAAATTATCAGCTGGAAGCTGGGTATGGTGGATCACGCTTGTATTCCCAGCAGTTGGGAGGCCAAGGACAGAGGATCACTTGAACCCAGGAATTCAAGACCAGCCTGGGAAGGCCAGGTGTGGTGGCTTACGCCTGTAATCTCAGCACTTTGGGAGGCTGAGGCGGCCAGATCACCTGAGGTCAGGAGTTCAAGACTAGGCTGGCCAACATGGTGAAACCCTGTCTCTACTAAAAATACAAAAAATTAGCCAGGTGTGATGGCACGTGCCTGTGATCCCAGCTACTCGGGAGGTTGAGGCAGGAGAATCGCTTGAACCTGTGAGGCGGAGGTTGCTGTGAGCTGAGGTTGCGCCACTGCACTCCAGCCTGGACAACAGGCAAAAAAAAAAAAAAAAAAAAGCCAGGCGTGGTGGCTCACGCCTGTAATCCCAGCGCTTTGGGAGGCTGAGGCGGGTGGATCACCTGAGGTCGGGAGTTCAAGACCAGTCTGACCAACATGGAGAAACCCCATCTCTGCTAAAAATACAAAATTAGCCGGGCATGGTGGCACATGCCTGTAATCCCAGCTACTCAGGAGGCTGAGGCAGGAGAATCGCTTGAACCCAGGAGGCAGAGGTTGCGGTGAGCTGAGATCACGCCATTGCACTCCAGCCTGGGTGAAAAGAGCGAAACTCTGTCTCAAAAATAATTAATTAATTAATTAAATTTAAAAAAAAAAGACCAGCCTGGGCAGCACAGTGAGACCCTGTCTCTTAAAAAAAAAAATGAGGTGGATCTGTGTGTGCCAATGTAGAAAGCTGTCATTTTGGACTGATACACAAGAAGCTTGGCAGTGGTCACCTTTGGAGAGTAGAGATGAGAAGAAGGCTCTTCTTGTACTATTATTACGATAAGCTTATATTGCTCTTTTTTTTTTTTAATTTAGAGATGGGATCTCCCTCTGTTGCCCAGATGTGAGCAACATGACAGAGTGGCATGCTGCTTCTGCTAGAGCAGTGCTTCTAAAAGTGGGCTCCACAAGCTGTTACTGGTCCACAACTAGATAAATGCAATAATTGAGAGCAAACATTTAGAAGCTTACAGGAACTGCCAGTAATTTTTCATCTGAATGTAATAATTTTAAAAATTGAGGCTTGTATTTAATAGGTCTTTTTTATTTCAGTTTTCTAGTAACTAGTATTTCTTGCACTTCACAAAAGTATCAGTCCATAAAAGATTGGAAATTTTTAAAAATGCATCCTTCACTACAGACAGTTTGAGAACTGTTCTAGAGGGCATACTTTAATAATGTGATATAAGAATGCATTATCTCTGTTGAATCAAACTAGAGAGACTTATATAGCATTATAATTTGTCAATTTACAATAAAAAATAAAGAGACGAGTTGAGAGTAGCTGAGATCATATTGTATATGCAATTTTAGATTCTGCTTTATTCACTTAGCCATGAAAAATATTTTCCTTTGTCTTTAAAATTTCTTCAAAAATATTATTAATGCCTATAATATAGCCCATATGTATTTAACATTCCTACAATGTTGAATTGTTTTCCATTTTCACTAGTATAAGTAATTATGTAATGGATATCTTTGTAGACAAAATATTTGTTACATCTTTTTCTTTCTTTTTGTTAGACAGGGTCTCACTCTGTTGCCTGGGCTGGAGGGAGTAACACCATCACGGCTCACTGCCACCTCCAATTCCTGGCCTCAAGGGATCTTCCCACCTCAGCCTACCAAGTAGCTGGGACTACAGGCGTGTACCACTATGCCCAGCTTATGTTTTATTTTTTGTAAAGACAGGGTATTCACCATGTTTCCTAGGCTGGTCTCAAACTCCTGGACTTAAGTGATCCTCCCGCCTCAGCCTCCCAAAATGCTGGGATTACAGGCGTGAGCCACTGCACTGGGTCCTTTGTTACATTTCTAATTAACTCCTTAGAATAGAATACTAGAACAGAAGGTAGTTCAAAGAGTATACACTTTTTTAAAAGTTATAGGTTTTTTCCTGACTATAATACATATTTTTTGTGGGAAATTTAGAAAATATAAAAAAACAAAAAAGGTGAAAATAATTCATGATACCATAACAAGTGGTGACCACTTGTAACATTTTGATATATTTTCTTCCAATAATATTTGTAATTAGAGCCACACTATGTATCTTCTCTTGTAACCTGCTTTTTCCACGTATCATTATAAACATTCTCCCATATTAAATGGGATATAACATAATCTACTTAATCCATCCACTATAAAATAACTAGATTGTTTAAGTTTTAGTATATAAATTAATGCTGTATTGCCTGGGCGTGGTGGCTCACGCCTGTAATTCCAGAACTTTGGGAGGCCGAGGCAGGCAGATCACTTGAGGCCAGGAGTTTGAGACCAGCCTGGCCAACATGGTGAAACCCCGTTTCTACTAAAACTACAAAAATTACCTGTGCCCAGTGACGTGCACCTGTAATCCCAGCTACTAGGAAGGCTGAGGCAGGAGAATTGCTTGAACCTGGGAGGTGGAGGTTGCAGTGAGCCAATATCACGCCACTGCACTCCAGTCTGGGGACCGAGCGAGACTCCATCTCAAAATTAAAAAAATAAAAAATAAAACAAAATAATGCTGTATTGGACTACATGTCTAGATGAGAAGATGCTTGGGGCACTTTATAAAGGATCTTTTTACATGTGGCCTAATGTCTACAGAAAATCTGTACCAATTCACAGAAAGAAAGAAGGGACAGAAAGTGAGAGAAAATGGTCTACACTGCTGGGGCCAGTAGTCCAGGGTCAGAAAGAAGCCCAGACTGACTTTGCTGCAAATCAACACAAATCTGTCTCTGCTGGGGCTTATGAAACCTCTCAGTTGCCTTTCTACTAGTGTAGGTAAGAGGGCCCCTTTCTCTGCAAGAAACATGGACATTTAAAAAATATGTGCTGTCAAATACAATTTGGTAACCTGAACTGGATCCTGGCACAGAAGAAAAAGGGACATTAATAGAAAACTGGTGAAATTAAATAAATTCTAGAGTTTATTTAACAGTAATATGTTCATAGTGGTTTCTTAGTTTGAGAAATGTACCACAGTAATGTAAGATGTTAACCTTAGGGTAAACTCAGTATGGGGTACACAGGAACTCACTGTACTATCTTTGCAACTTTTCCATAAATCTAAAATTAGTACAAAATTTAAAGTTTTGTTTAAAAAATGTATTGCGCCAATGTAGAGTCCCACTAAAAGTGTGTGGAAGTGTTAGTGTAACCACACCCTTGGTAGCAGCAAATATTTTTTTAAAAATTTAATCCTTCAACAAATATTTATTAAGTGCCCTCTGTGTGCCAGACACTGCCCTAGGTACTTGGGCATCATTGAACAAAGCAGACATAGATCAATGACCTAGTGGAGCTGACGTTGCAGCAGAGAAAGACAGATATTTTAGTATGTTAGAAGAAATAAGTGCCTTGTGGCTGGGCACAGTGTCTCACACCAGTAATCCCAGCACTTTGGGAAGCCAAGGTAGACAGATCACTTAAGGTCAGGAGTTTGAGACCAGCCAGGTCAACACGGTGAAACCCCGTCTCTACTAAAAATACAAAAATTATCTGGGCATGGTAGTGCGCTCCTGTAATTCCAGCCACTCCAGAGGCTGAGGCAGGAGGATCACTTGAACCTGGGAGGCGGAGGTTGCTGTGAGCCAAGATCACGCCACTACACTCCCACCTGGGTGACAGAGCAAGACTCTGTCTCAAAAAAAAAAAAGTAATAAGTGCCTAGGAAAAAGGAAAAACAGGGTAAGGGACTTCAAGGGTGGAGGAGAGGAGTGAGGGATGGGTTGCAATTTTAAATAGGGTGATCAGGAGAGGCTTCCTTGAGAAGACAACTCAGCAATGACTTGAAGAAGCTAAAAGGTGAGCTATGTGTGAATGCCTGGAGACAAGGTCTAAAAAGTAAGCTGGAAGGACAGATCTGACATAACCTTGTAGGCTGTAACAAGGTGTGGCAGATACCATCAAACACTCACCAATAACTCCATTTACTCTGCTACATTTCCCAATCTCCTTGCAGTTAGGGAGAACTATATGACTAGTTTAGGCCAATGAAAGGTGACTGAAGCACAGTGTACCATTTCCATGCTTAGGCAATAAAAATCCCATATAAGTCCAGGCACAGTGACTCACACGTGTAATCCCAACACTTTGGAAGGCCGAGGTGGGAGGATCGCTTGAGCCCAGGAGTTTGAGGCCAGCCTGAGCAACATAGCAAACCCCATCACATGTTTGTTGGTTTTTTTTTTTTTAAGAGGCTTTCGGTCTGTTGCCCAGGCTAGAGTGCAGTGGCATGATCAGGACTCACTACAGCCTCAACCTCCTAGGTCCAAGCAAACAATCCTCCCACCTCAGCCTCCCAAGTAGCTAGGACCATAGGCATGTGTCGCCACATTCAGCTGAATTTTTTTTTTGTGGGGCGGGTAAGGACAGGATCTCCCTATGTTGCCCAGGACTGAATGGATCCCCCACCTCGGCCTCCTAAAGTGCTGGGATTACAGGCATGAGCAACCACACCTGGACTTTTTTTTTTTTTTTAAGAAAAATAAAAATTTTAAAAGTATAAAAAGGCTGGGTGTGGTGCCTCACATCTGTAATCTCAGCACTTTGGAAGGCTGAGGCAGGTGGATCACCTGAGGTCTGGAGTTTGAGACCAGCCTGGCCAACATGGTGAAACCCCATCTCTACTAAAAACACAAAAATTAGCTGGGCATGGTGGCAGGCGCCTATAATCCCAGCTACTTGGGAGGCTGAGGAAGGAGAATCACTTGAACCCAGAAGGCGGAGGTTGCAGTAGCCAAGATCGTGCCATTGCACTCCAGCCTGGGCAACAAGAGTGAAACTCCGTCTCAAAAAAAAGAAAAAGAAATAAAAAGTATAAAAATCCCATATGCGATTCTCATATCTTTCTTTCCCAGATATGGTATCTGTGTTCCAGATGGTGGAGCTAGAAGATGGTAGAGCCTCTATCAGCCTGGGTCCTTGAGTGACTATGTGGAGCAGAGCCTCCCCTACTAACCTGAGTGTGACATGTGTCATGAGCTATCACCAGCTGGTAGCAACCCGGAAAGAAAGACAGCCACTATCTGCCACTGAGACTTATTACGTTAAGCTACTGAGACTTGGGGGATGGTTACCACTACAGCATAACTTAGCCCATCTGGCCTAATACAGAAGAGCTTGAATTTTTTACTCTGTGTTAACTGAGTCAACTGTTTCTTTGAAGAAGGGGAAGCATCATTGATTAGTTTTTATTTATTTGATAATTAGTGAATGCAGCAGGTTTTCTTTTCTTTTCTTTTCCTTTTTTTTGAGATGAAGTATCGCTCTGTGCCCCAGGCTGGAGTGCAGTGGCACAATCTCGGCTCACTGCAACCTCTGCCTCTCGGGTTCAAGCGATTCTCCTGCCTCAGCCTCCTGAGTAGCTGGGGCTACAGGCACAGGCCACCATGCCTGGCTAATTTTTGTATTTTTAGTAGAGCCAGGTTTCACCACGTTGGCCAGGCTGGTCTTGAACTCCTGACCTCAAAGGATCCATGATCCACCCACCTCGGCCTCCCAAACTGCTGGGATTACAGGCATGAGCCACTGCGCCCGGCCCAGCAGGTTTTATTTTCTAAGATGTCCATAACAAAATCTCCGCTCCTTCATGCTCTTCTTATAGGGGCATTATCCGTCATCCCATTGAGAGGGGGCATCCACAGTCCCTCCCTTTGAATCTGGGAAGGCCTCTAACTACAGTGAAAGTGAGGTTATGTGACTTATGGCTTCCACCTGGTCCTATGGGCCATTTGCTCTGGGAACCCTACTGCCACGCTGTGAGGAAGTTGAGGCCACATGGAGAAGTCAACATCTATATGACGTTCCTGTTGACCTTCCCAACTGAGGTCCTAGCTGACAACCAGACACATGAGGAAGCCTTTGAGATGACTCCAGCTGCTGTCTGCAACCACATAAGAGACCTGACAAGCAACAACTGCCTAGTTTAGCCCAGTAGAGCCCAGGACCATAATAATAATGAAAGAATGTTGTTTTAAGCCTCTAAGTTTTAAGGTGGTCTGTTACACAGCAATAGATAAATGGAAGAGTGGAGCTGAACATTTGACACTGTTTTAATCTAATATATTCAAGTGTTTTTGCGCCAATAAGCCACCTTCTTGCCAAATCTGACTTTTCTCTTTCCAGACAAAAGTGCTAACCAGGACAGGGCAATGGATGGAGCTAGCAGTGATATCTCTCCAAGCTGACGCAGATTTATTAACAAGATTTTCTGGGTATAGCTGTTCCATTAACACACAGTAGGCATTCACTGACTATTTGTTAAACGAATGAGTAATGCTGTCCATGTTCCTGCATCTTTTTAAAAAGATAATATAATCAACCTAATGAAATGCTTTCATAAAATTCAGATGCATTATGCAACACTCCTCAGAAATACCATCTATTAAACCCTTTTATTATAAAAAGCCTACAGCAATTTTTTTCTGAGTTCCCTTCTCATTAAACAAATGAAATAATGTATATATCATCTCAATGTAAAAGATTCAAGTCATATGTACAAAGTAAGGTAAAATATATCTGCATCTTCCCCAAAAATAAGCCTTATTGATAATTTGGTATAGATCCTTCCAGGCCTTCTTTCTATACATTTGCCCTCATATATATGTTCATATTCTGGCAGAATGTATTTTCCAAATATGGCCACGACATTTCCCATTCCATGGGCTCTTCGAAAACCCTGAGGTTTGGAGCCTCTCCATGAGGTGGAAGGCTCTGTCCTCTACCCTAGAACATGAGCAGGCCTCTGTGACTGCCTCCACTAATGTATGACAGTGATGCTGGGTGACACCCAAGGCTAGGTCATAAAAAGCAATATTGATTCCCCTTAGCTCTCTATCTCAGAATAATGTCCTTGGAGCCCTAGTCCTCCTTGTAAGAAGGCTGACTACCCTGAACCACCGTGCTGGAGAGACCACAAGGACCACAAGGAGAGACCAGAGAGAGAAAGAGACTGTAGCTGTTCTGGACTCCACCTGCTTGAGTGTTCCCAGCCTCGGTGGCAGACATGTGAAGAAGACTTTGAGACCCCCGATCCAAACCCTGTCAGACTGCAACAGCATGAGACTCTGAGGGAAAATCACCTGGTGGAACCCAGTCAATCCCCAAAACCAAAAGCAGTCATTGCTGTTTTAAGTCACTTAGTATAGATAGTTGATGAATACACACATACCTATACATGCTTATTTACATAAATAGCCTATTCTATAGATTGCACTGAGAATTACTTTTTTCTTTTTTCTTTTTTTTTCTGAGACAGAGTCTCGCCCTGTCACCCGGGCTGGAGTGCAGTGGCACGAACTCGGCTCACTGCAAGCTCTGCCTCCCGGGTTCACGCCATTCTCCTGTCTCGGCCTCCTGAGTAGCTGGGACTACAGGCGCCCGCCACCACGCGCAGCTAATTTTTTGTATTTTTTAGTAGAGACGGGGTTTCACCGTGTTAGCCAGGATGGTCTCGATCTCCTGACCTCTGATCTGCCCGCCTTGGCCTCCCAATGTGCTAGGATTACAGGCATGAGCCACCGCGCCTGGCCTTTTTTTTTTTTTTCTTTTTTTTGAGACGGAGTTTCGCTCTTGTTGCCCAGGCTGAAGTGCAGTGGCGCAATCTCAGCTCACCGCAATCTCCGCCTCCGGGGTCCAAGCCAGTCTCCTGCCTCAGCCTCCTGAGTAGCTGGGATTACAGGTGCCTGCCACCATGCCCAGCTAATTTTGTTTTTGTTTTTCTGTTGTTTTTTTTTTTTAAGACGAAGTCTTGCTCTGTTGCCCAGGCTGGAGTGCAGTGGCTCGATCTCTGCTCACTGCAACCTCTGCCTCCTGGGCTCAAGCAATTCTCCTGCCTCAGCCTCCCGAGTAGCTGGGATTACAGGTGCCTGCCACCATGCCCAACTAATTTTTTTTTTTTTTTTTTTTTTTTTTAGTAGAGACAGGGTTTCACCATGTTGGTCAGGCTGGTCTCGAACTCCTGACCTCAGGTGATCCACCCACCTCAGCCTCCCAAAGTGCTGGGATTACAGGCGTGAACCACCACGCCCGGTCCTAATTTTGTATTTTTAGTAGAAACGGGGTTTCTCCATGTTGGTTGGGCTGGTCTTGAACTTCCGACCTCAGGTAATCCACCCGACTTGACCTCCCAAAGTGCTGAGATTATAGGCGTGAGCCACTGTGCCTGGCGGCTGCTTTTTGCTTTTTGCTTTCTTTCTTTTTTTTCTTTTTTTTTTTTTTTGAGATGGAGTCTCACTCTGTCACCCAGGCTAGAGTGCAGTGGTGTGATCTCGGCTCACTGCAACCTCCACCTTCCTGGTTCAAGCGATTCTTGTGTCTCAGCCATCCAAGTAGCTGGAATTAGAGGCACCTGCCACCACACTCAACTAATTTTTGTATTTTTAGTAGAGACAGGGTTTCACCATGTTGGCCAGGCTCGTCTCGAACTCCTGACTTCAGGTGACCTGCCCGCCTTGGCCTCCCAAAGCACTGGGATTACAGATGTGAGCCACCATGCCCGGCCTGAGACTTGCTTTTTTCACTAAACAATTTGTCTCTGGGACCATTCTGTCAGTGGGCCCAGATCCAGTTCATGCCTCGTAAGGCTGTGCAACATTCCATAGCACAGATGTTCCATAACACAGCACAGACGATTTTCAAACATCTTTGGCTGTGGCCCGGCTCTTCAAAGGAAAGTTTAGTTGGAAGCCCACTGTGTAAAACAAGTGAACGAAACCATGGGGCAAAGGAGGCAGAACCCCGCCCTGCACAGTGCCCCTCCAATCCTCTCCTGGAGGAAGAGGTTCCTGAAGGAACTTTTAGCTTTCCATGGCACCTTTACAATCACTCACCTACTTATAGGGTTGAAGAACAGGTTACGGGCTGGGCACAGTGGCTCACACCTGTAATCCCAGCCCTTTGGGAGGCTGAGGAGGGCAGATCACGAGCTCAGGAGTTCGGGACTAGCCTCAACATGGTGAAATCTTGTCTCTACTAAAAATACAAAAATTAGCCAGGCATGGTGATGCACCCCTGTAATTCCAGTTACTCACGAAGTGGAGGCAGGACAATCGCTTGAACCCGGGAGACAGAGGTTGCAGTGAGCTGAGATCGCGCCATTGCACTCCAGCCTGGGTGACAGAGCAAGACCGTCTCAAAAACAAACAAACAAACAAACAAAAACGAACAGGTTATGGTGTGCATCTTGGTCTTGAATGTACATTTGACTCATCTATGCCTCTTGTTAAGTGCAAACTGTGATTCACAGGTGCGGAGTGGAGTGGGATCCTCTTGACGTTCTGACAGTCTCCCAGGTGATGCCCATTCTCACTTGAGTAGTCGGGGATTAATTAGTGAACCCCATCTAGCTCCTGATGGTCCCTCTTTTTTTCTCTAACCTTCCACAACAGTTGTGGTAATGAAACCCCAGAATTTTGAAAATATCTTTCCCTCTTCTTAAAGATTAGAACCTCCTATTTTCATCTACAGTAGTTTTACACCTCTTGTATTCTCCAAAATTCCTCACACACCAGGGACAATGCCACCACAACCATCTGGGCAAGTTCCCTCGGTGCCTCTGGTGAACTTCACGGGGTGGAGATAGGAAGTCACTGAACAAATGGGGCTGTAGATTTGATTCTCACATTTTCAGAACTCCAATTCTCTTATTTCCACTTTAAACATCTGTCTTAGGAGAGAAATGGGAAGAAAATAGGAGTTGGGAGTTCTATTCACTCTGTCATCTGTCACCATTACTCTACCTGCTCCAGCAGAGGTCCCTTTTTTGGCTTTTCTTGAAACTCTTGCTCCAAAAATGACTCCCCACCCCAGTGCCCTCCTTCCACCCCCCACCCCCACGCCCCCTTGAGAGAGAGCCTTTTGCTATCCTTTGCCTGTTCTACAAACCTCTGCCAGGCTTTGGGCTTCCTGATACTATACCAGCAGATTTGCACCCTCTTGAATTTGTTCTTGCTTACCTCTTCCTCCTTCTGTAGAGGATGGAAGGAGAGGCGCCATCCATTGCTGCAAGGCAACGAAGTACATTGCACATAGTTTACATGATCTATTGTAATTTTGGCAGCACCTCATGAACATTGCTGTCACATCATCATTGAGAAAACCGAGATTCAGAAAAAGCGAGTGACTCACCCAAGGTCACACAGCTGGAAATGACTGAGCTGGGATCGGATCTCAGGTCTGTTTGACGCAATCTTCTCTCCCCACCTTCTCCAAATCTGAGCAATTGAGAGGTCCCTGGGTGACCGGATCTTTCAGTGCCCTTTTCTGTCTCATTAGCACTTTTTTTATTTTATTTATTTATTATTTATTTATTTATTTTTTGAGATGGAGTCTCGCTCTGTCGCCCAGGCTGGAGTGCAGTGGCGCAATCTCAGCTCACTGCAACCTCCACCTCCCAAGTTCAAGCAATTCTCCTGCCTCAGCCTCCCAAGTAGCTGGGACTACAGGCATGTGCTACCACGCCCGGATAATTTTGTATTTTTAGTAGAGACGGGGTTTCTCCATGTTGGTCAGGCTGGTCTCAAACTCTTGACCTCAGGTGATCTGCCCGCCTTGGCCTCCCAAAGTGCTGGGATTACAGGCATGAGGCACCGCGCCCGGACTTCATTAGCACTTTCAACATTGAATTTGTGAGGGTATTATTCTAACACTCCTCTATGGGTTGAAATCCCAGAGCCACTTTGTGCTGTATGAACATGAACATGCTCCTTCAGTTTCACCATCTGTAAAATGAGGCTGATCGTTCTTTGTCAGATGTCAGACAAAGTATTATGGGCTATTGTCTGATGATGAAAATAGTGTACACAATGCCTTTCAGAGTGCCTGGCATAAAGCAGGAATGAAAGCAAAACAAGCCTCTACCCTTCTTGTCCCCAACTTGGCATCGTTCTCGTGGGTCAGGAATAAGAAGGCCTCACATTGCCCCTGTGTCTTCTCGGCAACGCAGCCTCTGGGGTGTGTGAGATGGAAGACTCAAAACTTCCTAGCCCTTAGTGAGAGAGGGAGAGGGCTGAAGCACACCCTGTTCCCTGCGGAATTTGGGGACCGTGCCAGGATGGACTGCAAGAAGCTATTCACCAGTATGTGCAGCATGTGTGAGTGTAGCGTCTGATGGGAGAACGGGAGCCTGCCAAGATACCAGCAAGGAGACAGGCACTGTGGAGGAGGGGCTGGGTGTCGGCCACCACGGAACCCAACCCTCATCATTTCCCCAGCGCCCTGGCTGGCACGTCACGAGTGCTTGATCCATGCTTGTTGAATGAAGGTGCGCTCTTCTGGACAGGGGTTGAGGCAATGGAGGAAGTGACAGAAAAAGGGAGGCAATGGCCCTCTGTCAACCCTGAGCTGCTCCTCACGTTTACAGGGCTACAGGCCTGTTAGAGATGCAGTGAGGCGGGTGACAGGGTCAATCGACGAGTCTTTCCCTCTTGATCGTTACCTCATTCAAACTCCAGTCCACCAAAAAACAATAATAAAAGAGAAGAAAAATAACGGCATACAGTGCAGCACTTCAGCTTTGAGGACACTGAGAATTCCAGCAGATGGCTGATGGGTGTGGGGCCCCTGCTGCCCTGCCACCTCCCTTCTGTGTAGGCTCCTTGGTAGCCTCTGTGACTGGGAGGCTGCCCCAGGGTCCAACCGGCTTCCCTTCCCATTCTGTCGCCTCCCTACTAAGTTTCCGCCCTCAGACCTTTACACTTCCATGGAAGTTCCTACCTTTTAGCAGACAGGCAAGTCCTCGACCTTCCTCCAAGATTGATGTGAAAGATGCTCACCCTTGTCTTTCATGCCCTAGCCCCTGCCCTCTCCAACTCTCAGTCTATGGAATGTCACACAGGTTTGCATGCACAATCGCAGCCTTCTGGAGGATTGTGAGCCAATTCAACAGGCTTCTTGAGCGATGGGTACATCCCTCCTCTGTAACTGTCTTGGGGAGGATGGGAGAGGGAGCCTTGAGCTTGATCAACCCTTTACTGTCTCCCTGCCTCCCCCATACCGATGGTGCCAGGGTCTCCTCCTAGGACCTCCAGGTGCACAGCCTCTTGTTGCTTAGCGACAGCGTACCTCTTCCCCATACCTCAGCAACCTCCCCCAGCAGCGCAAGGAGCAGCTGTGAAAGGGAGAGCTGGGCTGGACCTCGCAGGAGCTGCCACTGCTGCTGACGGAGATGTGTGGGAACAAGCCCCAAAATAGGCCTGAGTGTGAAACCCAAGGCTTTTTTAAATACTCAGGTCCCACACTGACTCTTGGAAAGCCCTGCCATGCTCCCCTGTCCCCAGCTTCTGCCAGGCTGCTGCGTCTCCCTCCCACACTGGGCCTCTTACTCCACTTCTGTGCTCTCGGCTGTCTGCCCCTCTGTCTGCCGTGGGTCTCTGGGTCTGCTCCTGGGGTCTCTCCCTCTCTTGGGGCTCAAGTGTCACTTTTGCTGCCCCTTGTCCTTCTGCCCATCCTATAACTCCTGTCCATGTGTGGGTCTCTGGGTCTCTGTGGCTGCCACAGTCTCTCTTGCCCTTCTTCCTGCTCAAGCTGTGTAACTGCCAGTCTCTCCCTCACTAGCAAGAATCCCCTCATTCCCACCCTCAAGGGCTGCTTATTGTGACAACCCCACATTGCTAGAGCCACCATGACTATAATCCTTTGTTACTACCTTTTTAGGAAAGGCCTGTGGTAGGAGGGTCACAGAAGTGGCCCTCAGGGAGACCTGCCTTTCTCACTTAGCCTGCCCTGTGCTTCTGTTTCAATGGAAACTGACATTGGACTTCAGCCTAGTCCAATTAGAAGAGGACCAGGCCCAGAAAAGAAAAGAAGGACTGCCTTACCTCCATCCCTTCGGCTACCATGTCAGAGTTCCAAAGAGAAGCTCCTGAAGAGGCTCAGCACCCGTGACAGCCAAGAACTGCCCCACCCAGAACAGTGTTCTCCACCCCCAGCTGATGGTGATGCCACCCAAGGGCCTGGTGCCATCTCTGTGTCCACTAAACTAGTCCTCTGCCATCCCACCTCCCTCCACTGCTGATGTTTGGGTCTAATGATATTATCTGTGGGTTAAGAATCCTGAACTAGGGAGCAGGTTGGCAAAGGGACAGCTGAGAATAAGTATGGCCAGAGTCAAGTGGGGTGGGGTGGAGGACAGCTCCCAGGCAGGATAGGGGCTGGAGGGGTGCTGAAGTGAGGGCACAAGGGAACTTTGGGAGGGAGGCCTGGGTTCTGCCTTCTAGCAGAGGAAGCAGCGAAACAGCAGAAGGAACTTTTAGGCCGGAGGCCGGACCAAGTGACCTCACCCAAACACTGTGGTCTGCTGCTATTGCAACCTGGCGAGCCTCCCAGCTCTCCTGGGTCCCCAAGTAGGAGAGCTTTTTATAGTTCACTCCCCAACTTAGGTTTGAATAATTAAACAAGATGGACAGAAATAGCAGCCGGACAGTGAAAGCAGGTTATTTTGGGGTTTTCTGGAACACAGTGCTCCTGGGTGTCACCCCACCCCTGCAGGGGGGCGGAGCTAACATCAAGGCTGATGGGAGATTCCTGTGGGGGGAAACCCACCCACACCCCCAGGGTTCCTTGTGTTGAGGAGGTTGCTCTCAGCCAGAGGAGGGTCTCACCATTTCTTCCTCCTCCTCAAGGAAAGAGAGGGCTCTCACTGCCTTCTGATCATAGCTATTCCCCTGGCAGGAAGTCCCTCCTGTTGCCTGTCAGGCCTTCTACTTCTGAGATGGTGACAGATATTGAAAATCAGATCGATAAGCAGCTGCAAGACAGGCTGAACAAGGACAAGGTGGCTACTGCTCCTCTGGCCAAGGAGCCGGAACCAGGTGATAGGAGGTCTCGTCCCCCCTCCACTATAACCACTGGGGAGCTGTGGAGGGAATGAAGGTTGGGGTGGGGAGTGGGAGCCAGAGCTAGGGACAGGAGAGGAACTGGCTCGGGGTCGAGGAGTAAGATGAGGCTCCAGAGAAGAAAAGCTCAAAGGTGGGTTAGTGTTTGGATGAAAAGCTCCCCTTTTCCAGCTCTCTTTTAGTGTCCGCTGTCCTTGGCAGAAGCCCAGCCTGGGTTTCTTGGGACAGGGTTTCAGTAGCTAAGCCGGGGATGAGGAGAGGTCAGAAGCCCCCTTTCCCACCCAGGTCTTCATCGCAGACCAATCCTCTGTGACTTGTTTGCATAATACAGTACTTTTAGTTCAACTGCAGAGATTAACCTCAACTCTACCTTGAGGTTCTACCACAGAGCCTTAAAACCTGGGGCACAGAGGGGCACAACAGGTGGTAAGGGGGTATTTATAATGTTTTCTTCCTTTGGATAACAACTTCAGATTTGAGTTTGGAGGTCAAATTTCAGGGAATACTGAAATTGTTCACATATTCATTTAATGTTTTAAATTTTTATTTAAGAGATGATGTCTCGCTATGTTACCCAGGCTGGTCTCAAACTCCTGGGCTCAAGGGATCTTCCTGCCTCTGCCCCTGAGAACCTGGGATGACAAATGAAAGCCACCCTGCCCGGCTTCACTCTGTCATTTTTATTCATTTTAGAAACTTTTTTTTTCTCCTTGAGACGGTGTCTCGCTGTGTCGCCAGGCTGGAGTGCAGTGGCGTGATCTCGGCTCACTGCAACCTCCGCCTCCCCAGTTCAAGAAATTCCCCTGCCTCAGCCTCCTGAGTAGCTGGGACTACAGGCGCGGGCCACCACACCTGGTTAATTTTTTTGTATTTTAGTAGATACGGGGTTTCACCATGTTGGTCAGGATGGTCTTGATCTCCTGATCTCGTGATCCGCCCGCCTCAGCCTCCCAAAGTGCTGGAATTACAGGTGTGAGCCACCGCACCCGGCCTTTTTTTTTTTTTTTTTAAATAGAGACAATTTCTCACTATGTTGACCAAGCTGGTCTTGAACTCCTGGCCTCAAGTGATCCTCCCATCTTGGCTTTCCAAAGTGTTGGGATTACAAGTGTGAGCCACTGCACCTGGCCAAAAACATTTTTAAAGCACCAATTATAAGCCTTTATCCCCCAGCTTGATGCTGGGGAGTAATTCAGGATGGCAAGGTCCTTGTTCTCAAGAAGCTCACACTTTAGTAGGGGAGAGGGCCATGTTAAAACCTACCCCCCACAATTATTGAATGCTTACTATGCAACAGGTACCATACTAGAACTTCACAGAAATGGTTGCATTTAATTCAAACAGCAAGTCTAGGTCTAAGTAGCATTAACCCCAAAGGACAGTTATTACAACTAAGATGAAGAGACTTGTCTAAGGTCACTCAACTAGTAAACAGTATTAATGGAATTGGAACCCAAGTTTATATTATTCCTAGTTCTGTGCTCTTAACAACTGCTCTCATGGTCTCTAATGCATGGAAGGAAGCAACAGGTTTATTATTTGCTGTGAGCGTTCAAAAGACAGTTCAATTGTCTTTAGCTGAGCGTGTTTGTGCTATGCATGCTGGGTGGAGCAATCAGGGAAAGCCTCCTAAAGGAGGTGGCTTTGCATTGGACTCAATGGATCAGTTCATTCATTCTACAAATACTGTGCATCCGTGGATTCAACCAACCTTGGATGGTCAATATTCAGAAAAAAAATTGCATCTGAACAGACCTTTTTTCTTGTCATTGTTCCTTAAGCAATATGGTATAACAACTATTTTCATAGCATTTACATTGTATTAGATACTATAAGTTATCTAGAGATGATTTAAAGTGTATCGGAGGTGGCGCATAGGTCACATGCAAATGTTACACTATCTCACAGATTCAGCAGATTTTCCTATGGGAGATGTCCCGGAACCAATACCCCATCAGGTAAGGAGGAAGGACTGGACTTAAATTGAGTCCCTACTACATGCTGCGTTCTAGGTGCTGGCAACACAGAAGTGAACGAAGTCCTTGTGCTTATGCACATGCGGGGCAGGGATAAGGGAAAGGCTGAAATTATGACTGGGCGAGTCTTAAATGCCAAGCCTCCACTTTCACAGTGGTTCTGCTCCTCCTGCTCCTGGGTTTCTCTCCCATGAGCAAATATACTCTCCTACTCTGGGAAGTCCTTCTAAACGTCTACCCTGCATTTCCTTTTTCTTGTTTTTGAGATGGAGTCTCGCCCTGTCGCCCAGGCTGGGGTGCAGTGGCACAATCTCGGCTCACTGCAACCTCTGCCTCCCGGGCTCAAGCGATCCTTCTGCCTCAGCCTCCCGAGTAGCTAGGACTACAGGCGCGCGCCACCACGCCAGGCTAATTTTTGTATTTTTAGTAGAGACGGGGATTCACCATATTGGCCAGACTGGTCTCGAACTCCTGACCTCGTGATCCGCCCGCCTCGGCCTCCCAAAGTGATGGGATTGCAGGCGTGAGCCACCGCGCCCGGCTCTACCCTGCATTCCTTTCTGCTCCAAGACATTTCCCCACATCCCATTTCGTTCCTCCCAAGCCAAGTCTCATAGCCAAAACCTGGCAGGCCGCGAGCGTCTGGCCCTTTAAGTCTGCCTTCTTCCCCCCATGTGCCGTCTGGTTGGGCTGGCGACGCTGACGCACGCGTGACGTCAATGGCAGCTGGTGGAGTCTGGGCACGAGGAGCGAAGTTGGGATGGGGGTGGGGGGGCGAGAGAGAAGGCGGTTAATTTGCATTTAAAGGGGCCACTCCCTCGTTAGCGATCAGGGCTTTAAAGAAATGCGTATTCGGCAAACTTTCTGTCCTGGGTTATGGGGCAAGAAAAAGGCGTGGTACAGCTGAAGTCGGCGGCGACTAGAGTTTGCGATGACAATTATGTCCTTCCGCGGAAAGGGGGAAATAGTCCGTCGGTGCCCTGGCTGGGAGCACGTGACCGGGAGGGGGCGGATGTGGGGGGGGCAAGAGAGAAGGAGGGAGGAGCTGGTGGGGAGACGACTGTCAGGCTGTGTTTCAGCTGCCCCCACCCCCACATCCTGCCCACTCTCCTGCAGCTGCCACCACATCCTGCCCAGCCGGGGGCAGGGAGCTTCTGTGGGGGTGATGCACTGACCGAGGACCCGGCTTTGGCACCCCCTCCCTGCCCGCTTCAGCTCCAGGGTGGGCCGTCTGCCCTTTGCCCCAGGCCTGGCCCCAGGCACCCTGGCCCTGAGCTTGGGGCACAACTCTGCCGGTTCAGCCTGACACCTCTCTGCCTGACTCTGCCCTTTCCCCTCAATTCTGGCCTGAAGTGGGACTTGTGCGGGGTGGTGGGACAGGCCAGACCACAGCCCCATCCTCAGGCTAGCACAGTTATCAATGGACAAATGAGATGTTCAATAAACGTTTTTATAATCTGAACTCAGATGCATAGCTGCACACACACACGCACACACAAATACAGATTCGTGTTAACACATTTGCTGAGCGCATTCTATGCCAGGTCCTGCAAGGCCCTGAAGACTCAAAGTAGAGTTAGATTGCTGCCCTCAAGGGGCCCAGGATCTGGTGAGGAGTGTGTACAGAGGAGGCAGATACACAGAGTAGAGTGCACTACACAAGCAGGTGCAGAATAATACCCAAGTCCACACAGAGCATGTATACACAGAACTGCTGTATACCTGCTGATGGCCTTTCCTCTCACAAGACAAGGTGGCAGATGAAGGGACTGCCGGGATCAATTGAAAACTGGGGGAAAAATTATCAGCTAATGGAAGGGATGAGGTGGATGGACATAGGGGGCTGGAGATTGTCCAGATGGCTGTAGGGAAGGTGAGAGGGGGCCAACCAAGCTGCCAGACAGATTAGAGGCTGGAGCAGCAGTAATGGCTTCCCGGGGCTATGGGACAGGCAGGCAGAGAAACGGCCCTTGGGGCATGA
Organism: Homo sapiens; assembly: GCF_000001405.40. Taxonomy (NCBI): domain Eukaryota; kingdom Metazoa; phylum Chordata; class Mammalia; order Primates; family Hominidae; genus Homo; species Homo sapiens. The sequence goes on along the minus strand of NW_025791758.1, from coordinate 62,737 downwards.
GGATGAGGAAGACTTTTACAAATTAAGTTGGATTAGGTATGCTTGGGAAGGGGTGAACAAAAGGAGTTGTCTATGTCCCTTTGCCATATAAACTTACAAAGATGATATGGTGGAGAGGAGTTTACACACACTTTTAAAAGACTTCAATGAGCATGTAAGTGTTTGATTCCTAAAGGATTTTATAGCAGCTTTGGCCTGTTAGGTAACTTTTCTCTAGGAAAGATGGATGGGTAGCCAGAGTGGGAGGAGGAAAAATGAGACCGAGGCATCTGAACTCGCTCAGGTATTTCCTACCCAGGGGATTCTGGAATGGGAAATACAGGGGCCAGAAGAAAAAGATTCAGTGAGTCACTTTCAGGAAGTCCTTATTTCAATCTAACTTCCAACAACATTATTCCCTAGACCCTTTATTACCCTTCCATGGGAATTAAGGCCCTGTGTTTGTTACTTTTGCTCTCCCATTTAGTTTTCTCTATATTCTAAATTCTATCCCACTTGTAGTGTCTGTCTTTCCTACTCTGTTCTCTAGGGAATTATGGCAGCATCTTCGGGGTCCAGCACACTGCATCTCACCCACTGAGCTCTTCCCTCCTTTCCCTTTTCCCTCCTGCTCCTGGCCCTTTAAAACCCTCCCCAGGTGACTCACCTTCCTTCCTCATTCCTTTGTTAAGGACCCAACATTCCAAGACTGGGAGGATCAATCAGCCAATCATAGCCCTGGCAAGCCTACCTCAGGCTTGAGATTGGTTGGAACTGTGGTTGGCGGGAGGCTCACCACGCTGGTATAAAGGATGTTGGGGAGGGGGTTTCTGGGAATCGGCCCTGGGCAAGAATTTGTTCTCGGGTTGGTTAGTTTTTGTAGAGACTCCTTCAAGTAGAGCTGGAGCCAGAGGGTTCTTCGGCTTGGAGAGCCTCGAAACTGGAGGTGGCTGAGAACCCAGCTCTCTTGGTCTCCTGGGGGCTTGGCTGACCCCTGCCCACTTTCTTTTGTGTGTGTGTGTGATCTGGGACCCAGGGGTCTGACGGCTGAATTCCCAGGCCTGATCCTAAGAAGTCTTTTCCAGCAGCCTTGGATCTCTTCAGTCTCAACATTCTGCTTTCCTGACGTCGGAAACAGCCGGAAAATAAACACCCTGATGACTAAACGGTTTCTCCAGCTAGAGCCTAGGGAAGCACTAAAAATAGAGGCCACAAGTGAGGGGAGGTTCCCCACTTGAGGGGGGTTGGCACTTTCCCATCCTGCTACTGCCACAGCCTCAAGCCTGGCACAGGGCTCTGTTCTTCTCTGTCCTTGGGGGAAGAGGCAGATGGGCTCCCCCTGCCTACCCTGAAGTCTTTTGGGCAAACTAGCCCTGCCTGGCAGGGGTAACTCACATCTTCTGGTGTTGGGGCCCCAGCCTCCCAGATCCAATGAGGAACTGAGAAGCTGTATTTGGGGACACGGTGGGACACTGTTTCCTGAAAGGGGGGGGTCAGGTAGAAGGGTTGGAAACTGAGGCCAAGGAAGTAGGAGCTTGCTGGCTTCCTGTCTTAGGACACACAAGATAAGTCTCCAACCTATTTGCAGAGCAATTCCACTGAACTCACCTCCTTTAAGGCTTGCATGAGCCAATGGAGGCCTAGAGGGTTCTTTGCAGACCAGCCCTTGGCCCAATGGTCTGGTTTGGGTTATTATACAGCATAAGACACTGTACTAAGCAATCTGCTTAGAAGAACTAATTTAATCTTCACACTAAATTTCTGAGTTAGCTACTATTATCACCATCTCTAGTCATGGTCACCATGAGGTAGGGGAAAGTTAAATAATATGCCTGTGTTCACAGCTAATGAATGGTGGAGTGAGGATCTGAACCAGGACAGCTTGACGGCAAAGTTGACATTTCTAACCACAATGACATGTTGCCTCTCTCTATATATTGGAGTCTTTGTCCGGTAAATCAGATCCAGCCAGAAATCAGGGTGTGTGTCTGGGCGCGGTGGCTCACGCCTGTAATCCTAGCACTTTGGAAGGCCGAGGCGGGCGGATTGCTTGAGCTCAGGAGTTCGAGACCAGCCTGGGTAACACGGTGAAATCCCATCTCCACTAAAACACAAAAAATTAGCCGGGCGTGGGGGCGTGCGCCTGTCGTCCCAGCTATTCGGGAGGCGGGAGGGGAGGCGAGGCAGGAGAATCGCTTGAACCTGGGAGGCGGAAGTTGCAGTGAGCCAAGATCGCGCCACTGCACTCCAGCCTGGGCGACGAAGAAAGACTCCGTCTCAAAAAAAAAAAAAAAAAAATTCGGGGTGTGTGAAGAACTGAGTGAGTGCCCTTCTGTTCTGCAAGGTTCTTTGAGATCTAAGCCAGATGCCATCATTTCCTTACGCTCTTGGGAGAAAGCAGCAGGACTTGGAAGTAACAGGGATGCTGAAGCCTGACGGGTCAGTTGTCCAGTAGGCATGGCACCCACACTCCTGTTGTAGGGCACGTAAATATTCACCACACCCTGGAGCAACCAGGAATATAAAAATAAAAAATTTTAAAGAGCTACTACTGCTTCTTTAATAAGACATTTCTGGGTGTTTACTGTGCGGCGGGAGGTGGGGAGGAATTAGGGTCCCGCCCCTTTAAATTGCCCCCTCGGCAGTAAGTGCTGTGGGGCCCCGCAAGCACTGGAGATTAGGTCACCCAAGAACTATGAGCTGTCGCTTTAAATTGCTGGGCGTCTGCCGAGCCGGGCCCTGGGACCGGAGGGGGCCTGTCACAGGTAGAGGGAGCAACTGAGCTCCCTAGGTAACACCCCCCAACCCCAAGAATGTCGCCCGTGAGTGGGGCTTTGTCACACACCAAGTGGGGGAGATGGGAGCTTTTCACCACTTCCAGTCTCCCCTTAATTTATCTACTTAGACTCCCACCTCCCAACTCTCCTGGGGCCCGGGGCCGCGAGGAGGTGCCGAGGTGGCGCGTGTTGAGAGTGTGCGTGCAGCTCGCACGGCCTCCCCGGAAAGGACCTCCTGGAGCACGCGGTGGCAGCAGCGCCAGGCGGGCGGGCGGGCGGCCGGCGTGCTCCGAGGGGCACCGTGGGAGCGGACCGATCCCTTTAAAGGCCTCTGGGTCTCGCCTCCCTACTTTGCCTCGCTTCGTCCCTTCCTCCCTCCCTCCCGGCAGGCGGAGGGATCCGCCGCTCCCAGCGCCGCAGCCTAGCTTGGGAGGGCGGTGGGGTGGGGGCCGACCCGGCCTGGCCCGGCCAGCCCTGGGGAAGCGAGGGGCGGGGCCGCGTCCTCGGGACCGCCCCAGCCCCGGCTCCGCCCCGCCACCCCCACAGGTGCCTCCCATTGGCCCCCACGCCTGTCCGTCACCCCTTTCCCCCCACCCCTCAAGCTAGGCTGAGCTGTGCCTACGTCGGCCTCGACTCCCGGGGGCTGGAGGAGTTACCTTTGGAGCCCGAAAGGAGGAAGGAAGCAAAATATCAACAACAGCCGAGGCGGCTCAGGCGCTCGGCCCCGGTTCCCCGCTTGCCTGCCGCCCGCCTGCTGGCCCCCGCGCCCACGACGGGGGCCCAGGCCTCACGGCGCCGCCCAGGGCCCGCGCGGACGCCGGCCTCATTTATTATTCTCCCCGCCCGGAGCTGCGGCTTCCCGGTGTTGAAGATCCCCCGGACCAGGGGCGAGGGCTACCCGCTCTTTGCCGTGACAACACCGTTCCCCCAGCCGGGCTGGTGAGTAGAGAAAAATAATGCGCCTGCCACTTTAAGAGGCCCCCTCCCCCACCCGGTCCAGGGGTTGGGGTGGAGGGTGGTCTAGACCGTCCCCCTGAGGGGTGGGATGGGGCAGCCCCCGGGCCGGGAGGAACTCGCGAAGCGGGCCGTGTTTTCGTGTGGCGTTGGCGGGGATTACCTAGGGGACTGTTTGTGTCAGGGAGTCTGTCGTGGGGGACAAGTGGAGTGGGCTGCAATTCCCTTGGGTGTTGGGAGTACGGGGTGGGGACGGGCGGATTGGGGGCGCGCCCGCCTGTTCGTGTAGGGGGTTTACGACGGCCTCCGAGCGGTCTGGGACGGGGCGCCATCCTCCGAGGGGGTCTCCGGTGACAGTCGGGAGCGACTGACATTTTAACAGCCGGCCCTCCCTCCCTCTCCCTCCTCTCGCCGCCTGTTCCCTCCTCCTTGGCCCGAAATGGTGCAGAAGGGGGCCTGGGAGGGCGGCGGGAGGGTGGAGGCGGGGGGAGCCGCAGCTGTTTGGGAAGCGGGGGAGGGAGGGGGGATGTTGTTCAGATGACACCGGGGTAGTGGGTTGGGGTGTGTGAGTGTGTGTGTCTCCGGGGCCCGTGTTTGCCGGGTGCCTGTGGAGTTGGGACGCGGAGTCGCCACGAGGTGGGCACGCAGGACCCTTCCTTGAGACCTCCTAGCCCCGCTTCCGAGACCCCTGATGTGGTTTGTCAGTAACCCCAACTGGAGAACTCCCTGGCCAGAAGTTTGCAGCTGTTCAACATCTGGGCAAGAGTTCTCTAGTCCTTTCCACCTATGGCAGGCGGAGCTGGGCTGCGAGCGGGGGTTTAGGGAGTTTGGGGGGGCTTTTGGGAGGATGGGCCAAGGAGACCAAAATGCTTTTAGTCCCCCACTCCAATGCCAGCTTCTCTCCTACCAGGTTCGGGTCTTAGGGGGATGGGGAAAGGGGCCCCCTCCCCCTAGTGAATCACGCTGTCCTCTCAGCAGCCTTCCGAGGACTCCTCCTGAAAGGAAGGCACTCTAGAAGCCACCGACCGGGTTATCCCAGGTTTGCCCTTCTGAATGGGAGCCTCCCTCTGCCTCCCATTGCTTGGTGCATTGTTGATGGGTTGGGGGAGGGTATAGCGGGTTGGGGGGGATCCTGTGTCCCTCTTTGCTGTGCCCAACCCCCATTTGAGTTTTCCTCAGAGTCCTGGTTTCTTTGCTTTGGGGTGGAGGTGGCCCTTATCCACTCCTCCTCCTATCCCTTCAGTGGGTCTCCGCAGCAATTCAGGGTCCAGCCTAGACTATGGGAAGTTTGCCGTCTGGGGCGGTGACCTTGGGCTGCTCTGGCCTGGAGATAGGAGGGGAGCGCAGGTCAGCCTGAGATTGGGTGTTTTGGCGTTTGGGAGCTGTCCACCTCCCACTCCTCTCCCAACCCCAACAGGAAGGTCTCAGTAGCTGAGGAGAGCATTGAAAAGGCACATGTCAGTGTTCACAGATGTCCACCCGCTTGTGGCCACGGGGTCACACCCGCCCCAGGACTTAGTCTGGCTGTCCCAGCTCCCACGGCCCTGCCTGGGAATGAATTTCCTTCCTGTGGTTTCCCAGTGTGTTGGGCAGGAGATGGGGGTGGGGTAGGACTATTGTGGGAGTGGCTGAGGACCTCTTTATACGGGGTGATTGGGGGACACTGGAGCTTATATGGAGCTCCTTCCCCACTTGCCCCAGCATAGGCATTTGGACCTTTGGGTCTCAGTGATTATATTCTCTTTGTTGTAACTCCCCTGCCCCCGCCAACACACCCTGTATGTTTGCATATGTGTGTATATGTATGTGTGTGCATGTACATTTGTAAAGGGAGAGGTCTCTGGTCTCTCTGGGGGGAAGGGGGGGAGGGGGGAAGGGAGGAAGGGAGGAGCTTTTACTCACCCCTGTAGGGACCCAAAAGGTTGAGTTTTTTACCTGAGATCACACAGCAAATCTGTGTCAGAGCTTTCGTCTTTCCACTCTTTTAGGCACAACTTCATAGTAGGGAGGGATTCTGGGAAGGGAGACATACAGTCCGTGTTCATGGAAGCCCCAGTCCAAGGGAAGAAGCAGGACCCAGAGAGCCTCATGATCCTTGTGTTGGGGGATGGGCATGGGGAATTGGCTAGAGCTTCTGTCTGCTGTACTCAATGCCTGAAAGATTGGTGGAGGACTTGGAGGGGTGGCAGGTGCTGTCCGTGTCCACCCCACTCTGTGCTTGGTGCCCCTGGGCTGGAGGGCCTGGGCATCCTGGCTCTGCCCCCTTGGCTCCTGGTTCTTCTCATAGGCTGGGAGATATGATAGTCTTTCTGGCTGCTGTTATATAATCTCTCTGTAGCAGGGTTTTTTTTTTTTTTTTTTTTTTTTTTAATCTTTCCTGGGAGATGTGATAGGGAAGAGAAGCCAGAGGGAGACTCTTCAGGTTGGGGGGAGCTAAAGGAGCAGTAGTAAGGAAGCTTGGAGTGGGAGGTGCCTTGGCCCCCGAGGAGGCCTTGGGGATAGGCCCTCATTGATTATGGCCCAGCCCCTCAGACCCTTCTCCTCTACCGTGCCCTCAGAGGGTCCCTCTGCTGTGGTCGTCCCTGGCTCTTATACCCCCAGAGAGGCCTGGACCTCTCCCCATTTTGTCAACTTTCTCTTCCTGACCAGCTGGGCCCCCTGCTCTCCCTGGTTGGCACTGGATCCAGAATCTCAGGACTTACGCTGGCCTGGTGTGGGCCCTTGGTTGGACACTTTGCCACACACCTGAGTACCTTTATGGGGACAAGGGAAGTCCAGGAGCAAGTGGGTGGGCCCAACATTTCCCTAGTTCTATTTGAGTCAGGCCCCCTGCTTCTTTGCCCCTCTAGTCGAGAGAGTGGTGGCCTTACTGGAAAAGAGGAGTTGAGGGCCTTGACTTAATACAGGCCTTGACCTCTTGGACACAGGTCATCGTTGGTGTTCATCAGGTTCTATAAGTGGGTATGAGGATCCGATGTGAGCCTGGAACCCATCATCAAGGGTCAGGTTCTGAGTCTCATGGCACTGTGGTGCTGGGATTCTCCCCATCCCACGGGACCATGGCTGGGACTCTCGAGGCTCTCTCAGGCCAGCTGGTTTGAGGCAACTATCTCTTTTTTATAGAGAAGGAGGAAATGGTGGCAGGCCGGCACAACCTCAGCATCACTGTAATTGCTGGTGGCTTTTATGAGCCAGTCATGGGGCCGGAGTCCGGCCAACTGTCTGTCCTTCTGTCCCAGTTTGGTGACTTACTCATGGAGGGAGGGGCGGTTAGGTACTAGAAGCTGTGTTCTAGAAGCTGGACGTCTGACTGTATTGTGGTCGATGTCACTCTGTCTATCCATGATCACAGCAGGTAGGATGGAGCTTAGACTTCAGGAAGAACTTCCCAGTGGGGAAGCTGGGGGGGAGAGAGATGGCTCTAATTTTGCATAGGAAAGGAGGGGAACTCAAAGCACTTTCTTTTCCAGTGGCTCTCCCGAAAGGAAAGGCCTTGACCTTTGGCTTGGTGGGGTCGGTGCTATTTGGATCTCGGAATATTTATCTTCTTTTTCCTCTCCCTGCTTATGGCTGAAAGTATTCTGAGGCGTTTGTCCTGGAGCTGTGGGAGAAATAGCCATTAGGCCCCTTTCCCCCAGTAGTGGGAGCTAGATAAGGGTCTCATGTAGACAGGCATGCCCAATGCAGTCCACAGCATTTAGTGGTACACATGCAGGAAAGTGTGCAACACATACACACTGGTATGTAGACACCCACAGAGCAGCTGCTGCACTGCGGGAGGTGGGGGGTAGTGAATGGCAAAGATGATTAAAGGATTGGAGAGTTGGGATGGGGTTGAGGGGACCGGAGGCAAGAAGGCGAAGGGCATAGCAAGAACTTTGAAGAGAGAAGGGCTGACTGGAGCAGGAGGGATTAAGGTTAGACCACAGATGGGCAGGCAGAGCCCTGTCTGCAAAATAAAGAGCATGGCTTGTGAGTCAAGGAGCCTTGGCTGACTTCCATCCCTGCCCCTTACCCCTCCCCCACGTGCCCCTCTCTGTGTTCCTGGCACAGCCTGCCTCTGCCCCTCACACTGACCGTGTGTCCCCGGGTCCCTCCTCTTGGGCCCCAGCTTTCCAGATGTACAGAGTTTCGCCTTTCGGTGATTAACACCTGGGTGTTTTGGTGGTTTGTCGCTGGTCTCTGTTGCCCTCCCCGCTCACCCTGATGAGCAAGGCCACTGTGAGGCATCAAGACTACATCTAAGCCATCAGGCATCTGGGGGTAGATCCTTGGCCTAGGTGATCCCCAAGGCCCTCTTCATCTGACATTTTCCTTTTCCTGAGGCTGAGGCTACAAGCCTCTCTTTCCTGAGAGCCAAGTTATGCTTCTGGTTAGTCCTGGCTGGTGTGGAGACAGGGGAATGCATTCATTGATTCTGCACAGGACCCTGATAGCCAAGGGGGCGGGAGGCACTTGTGCCTGTCTGACTTCTTTTCTTTCTGCTGTAGGCTGGGAGGGGAGGGACATGTCCGAAGCTCTGGCCTGTCGCTGGCCACACCCAGGTGGGACCATATTTACTCATTTAAACTTACCCTCCCAGGAGGCTCTGGGCTCTAGGCCTGGTCACTGACCTTGGCTTGGTGCCTCTGGCTGGATGCTGTGGCCACTCTCCTAGGAGCTGAGCAGACGAGGAAACCATGCAGAGGGAGCTTTTTTTTTTTTTTTTGCCCCCTGGTCAAAGGAGCTTTACCCTCAGCATTACCCCTCTTGCCCAACTTTCCAGTATACTTTGAAGACCAAAAACCACAACTTTTTAATTTTTTTTGAGGTAGGATCTTGCTCTGTTGTCCAGGCTCGAGTGCAGTGGTGCCATCATGGCTCACTGCAGCCTCCCATTCAAGCGATCCTCCGGCCTCAGCCTTCCAGGTAGCTGGGACTCCAGGTGTGAGCCATCGTGCCCCGCCCAAAAACCAAAACTTTTGAGATCCCAATGAAGAGAGGTGATGGGTTCTCAAAAGGGAGGAAGGAAACTTCCATTTCTTATGTTCCTGTGTGCCAAGCTTTGTACTGAGCATGGGAATATAAGAAGACTGTTTCTCTCTAAAACTGTTTTTTTGAATTGGGAAACTGAGTCTCAGAGATGTAAGTGACTTTTAAGCTTTCCTAGTTATGAAGTATAAAGGGCTTTTGTCTGAGATTAAAGGAGAGATCCTGCCCTGCAGGACGGGGCAATGGAAAGGAGGCCCACGGAGACCTGAGAGGAGGAGGAGAAATTGAAGGGAAGAGAAAACCAGGATTCCTCAGCAGAGGGCAGAGAATCAGCCTTTGGTGGCAAGGTGAGGAGGGTATTGTTTTGACTTGAGTGTCATGGAGAAAGCCCCCAAAGCAAGGGTGTGAGGGCAGGAACAAATGACACTCCGAGACCCCTCCTGCTGTCCCTGTGAGCTGCCGCATGGGATGAATGAGAAGAGACACTAGAGTGGGAAGGCTTGGACCACAAGAGGCTGGGCTTGTCTCAAGGCAGACACAAGGCCAATGTGAGCCTCCCAGGCCCAGACCTGGGGAATGGGCCCTGGAAGGAATGTGCTAGAACTCCCCGGTGGAGGGAGACTCCCTCCCACTCCCATCCAGGTTGTAAGCAGAAGCCCTGTGCCCAACAGTCAGTCTGCCTCTGCCCCTTATTTCTGGTGACCTTGAGGAAGTCCCTGCCCATCTCTGTGTGAGTTTCCATACCTGTGAAAGGGAGGTGGTGCTACCTGCCTCACATGGGAAGGGAAGGAGTTTCCGCCAGAAAAAGTGTGATGGTTGCATCTTTTCTCTCAGACCTTCAGCCCCAGCCTGGCCCAGGACTGGCCTGCTAAGGCAGCTACCCAGAAGCAGGGGTGGGGGCAAGGAATGCCTTTGGTGTCCAGGGTAGGGATTGAGGAGGCCTTGAGGGTTCCTCCTGGCCTAGGGCTCCGTTTGGCCCTGGGATGGGTTGGGAAGCTGAGCCCAGCCCTCCCCTCCCCATCCAGCCGTCTCCTTGTCTCAGAACCTGCCTCCTCCACACTTAGCCCCACGAGTCTTGCCAGATCCCTCTGGCTGCATGCTTGCTTATCCCTCGTGATTCTCTCATCCTCAGCCCACCAGCAAATACCTAGGGTTGAGGGTTGAGAGAACAAAGAATACGGGGAGAGCCCATCCCTGAGTTTCAAGTAGAAATGCACGGCAGGCGGGTGGAGTGAGGAGAGTGGGGCTTGGTCTCTTTTCCTGGGGTCTTCCCACTCCAGTTGGATCAAGTAACAAGGGAATAGAGCAAGGGGTTTGAGGGATGACCTCAAACCTTGAGATTTTCCCTTTAAAGCATGTGTGTATTGTGCTTTTGGTGAGGGATGATGGTTGGGGTAGACCAGGAGGATGGGATGATCTGAAAGTGGGTTTCTCAGACTTTCCTGTCACCTCTCTCCTTAACCTATGGGCCCTTTCCTCCAGCCACCACCACTGCCTCCTCTATGCTGAGTCTCCTTATGCAGGCCTCTGGGGCCCATGATGGCTGGGTGGGGACAGGTGTCCTAGCCCAGCTGCTCCCTCTTATCTCCCCCACCTGTCAGCCTGGGGGTGGGGAGCTAAGAAGGAGGGGAGTTAGGGGAACTGCTTAGCCCCTCACCTGTTCTGAGGGGTGGGGCCCTGGTTGTAAACTGTAGCAGGGGAGTCAAGAGTAGACAACAGGCAGGACTTCCCCTCAGAGGAAGGATAACTCCAGATCATAGTAATGGCAAGGAAAACTTGGTAGGCAGAGGTCCTTGCTGGCAAAAATCTGAGGGGTCCCTGCACGGCATCCTCATGAAAGGGTGAGAAGCCAGGTATTGGTAAGGAGCACGGATTTGGCGACATGTATCTGCATAGCCTTGTGCAGGTACTGCTCTCCCCACCCCCTTCCTTCTGGGCCCCCCTCCATCTGGCTGGGCATCTTAGCCTCACCTGGCACCTTTCCTGAAAGCAGCAAGCTAATCCTGTAAGAGCTGCCTGGCTGGCCGCCTCAGCAGGCCCACGCAGCCACAATGCCCGCCCTCCCTCCGCTGCCAGGGGCTTAGAGGACTGTCCTTCGAGTTAGAAGGAGACCCAGCTATTGCCCTGAACGGCCCCTTTAAATCCTCAGTGGCTTCTCGAGGTCATGATGTCTCTAGGAGGATTTGCTTTCCCTGATTGGATTGGCCTCTTTCGGGTCCCCTGTCATCATCGTAGGTGAACCCTTCATGTTTTCCACCTCCCCTTTCCTCATAATTGGTGCTGTCCAGTCTGAGGGCCCAGGCCTTGGACTCTTTCCCCTCTCTCTTAGCTCTCATGTCCCAGCAATCAGGGCTCAGACCCCCTTCATCTGCTTCAGCCAGAGCAGCCCTGTCTCAGTGCTGTGGGTGAGAAGAAAGGATCTTGCTGCTTTAAAAAAGGGGACAAACACTGCCCAGGAAGAGAATGCCCTTCTGAGACTGTCTGCTGCCTGCCTCTCTCCATTTTTATCTCTTCAGCCTGCTCTTCCTTTGGCCAGGGGCCCACACTCCTCATTACCCCATGCACTTATTTCCATGGGAAGTCCCTCCCCTGATCTAACCATTAGCCCACCCGCTGCAATGGCAGGCAGCCCAGACCCAGCACTGGTGGCATTATGCTCATTCCAACGGCTCTCAAGCTGACCCGCCCCCAAGGCCCCAGCTGCCACTTTCACTTCTGTCTCCTGAGACCCCAGAGGGAAGTTGTGTTGGGGAGGTGGAAGGTGACACACTAACCGTCCCAACCGCCCCCACCTCTCCTCAGCCAGGGCTTCTGATAGCCAAGGGCCCCTGTCCATTGCTCTTGTTTAGATGACCAAATTGGGTTAGGTAACAGTGGAAGATTGGCTGCGGTGGGAGGGATGGCCGTTAGATAGCAGGAAGGACTTCCTAGGATTGGAGACCACTGCTGGGCTTCATTGTTTCAGAAGATATGGGAGAGGTGTAGATACTCTGGACAAATGTAGGTCAGACTTAAAGGTAGGTAGGAGATTGGTTGTCTGCAGCTCCCATTGGTTGGCATACAATGCTGGGGCCTCCATGCCCTCCCACGTGTCACCAGCCTCGCATGCTTGGTTGGAGGGCTTCTGACAAAGCAAGTTTGAGCCCCAGAGACTACTTTGAGTCCAAGGACTCAGCCCTGAGAAGTTCTTTCTGTAGTCTTATATCTGTCCTACCTGCTGTCCTGGGCCATTTACTCCCACCCTGCACTGTGGATGCGTTTTGGAAATGGAGCTAGAAATGGAAGTAAAGGACAGCTCACCTCCCTCCTGCTGCTGCCGCCCCAACCTTAGCACTAAAGAGGGGAATGGGATTCTTCTCCTGTGACGCCCCAAGGCAGTGACAGAGCCACACTTCACCCTGTGAATCTTACCAAACTCCTGTAGCTGCCATGCTTGCTTATTCCTCGTGATTTCACACCCCTTCCCCATCTCTGCCTAGACAAGAGTAGGGGACCCAGTTGGACTGAGAGCTCTATACTGTATCACTGGGAGTTACTATAAATCCAAGAATGCTTTCTGGAGGGGAAAGATGGGAACAAAGGCCTGAGGTGCCAAGAACTCCACTTGGTGTCCGCAAGTGCCTACGGATCCTGGGTGGGGGTGACCCAGGTCCTGGAATGGGAAGTTGAGCCTGAAGGAATAAGGTCAGAGACGCTATGCAAATCCTCATGCAAATGAGTGGTGGTGAGTCATTGCAGCTCGGCCTGCTGGGATGGAGTATGAAGACAGCCTTAGGCTTGGGTTCTAGAGCTGGTCCCACCAGGGACCAAACAGTGACCTTGGGCTAGTTGCTGCTCAGTAACCACAAGCAGGTGGGTCTGATAGGCATTCCCAGTGTGTGAGGGGATTGGGATGACTGAGCCTCTGCCACAAGGGCCTTGTGTGCCCCACTTGGTACTTGTTCTGGCTGACCAGAGCCTTTGTGAACCCTTGGCCATCTGTTGGGGGGTTACTGTTTAGAAGGCACCTGCCCCTTCACCAGCCCCATCCTGACTGTCTTCTAGCGCCCTCATTGCCTTTCCTCCCCAGCAGGAGGATGACAGACCCAGCCAGGCCATCTCTTCAGTTCCTCTCCGTGACTTACACAATTCTGATCTCCCTTCCCTTTGGGCCTCCCCAGAGAGCACAGGAGCCATGTGTTTGGGCCAGAAGGGCATTTGGGTACCTAGTCCACCCAGCTACCCATAATACTGGCCAGTGGGGTGAAGCCTGTAGAAGGCAGTGACTTACTCAGGATCACATCTTAGACCAGAGCAGGGACTAGAACCCAGGTATCCAGAATCCCAGCTTAGAGACCCCATATTTCCCTAAGCTGTTCATTGCCCTACCTCACCCATCCCTTCTCTACTGGGACTCAATCTCCTGTTGCCCCCAAATACTTCTGAGAACAGTCTGGCTAGCTCTAGGAGCTTGTTTTGTGGGGGTGCGGGGTGGTTACCTAGGAGCCAGCCCAGAGGCCATAAGGGGAAGGTCAGAGCTGCAGTGGGAAGTGCTGGACCCTGGCGGACAGGCTGCTGCCTTGTAGAGAGCCAAATGGCCTCACAGCTGCTACAGGAAGGATGAGAGCTAGACTACAGGAAGAACAAGCTGGGGTGAGGAAGACATGGAGGAGGCTCAGGAGACAGACCCTCACTGGAGAGGCATCTCCTGGGCAGAGAACAGGATGACCCCATCCCAGGAGACTTGCCAGGGAGAAGAGGGCGGGAAGGCTAGGGTGGGGCTCGGGAGAGTTGTCCAGCGGAAGCTAGGGGGAGGGCTCAGCCCTGCTCTCCATACCGTGTGCTCCCCTTGGCAAGTCGGTTCCTGTCCCTTAAGCTGAGACTGCAGGGCCTGCCCCCCATTTGAGTTCTTAGGGTGCCTGGGGCCTGAGACCACCCCTGCCCTAGGCCCAGCTTTCCTGGACTGCCTGCCCCCACAAACCAACAGCCCGCCCCCAGGTCCCCAGTCGGTGAGTTAAAATTAGCTCAGTGCCCAGGCTAAAAATAGCCCCTGCCCAGCCCTGAGGCTGCTGGACTGGGGGAGGGGAGTCCCCGAGGGAGGGAAAGACGGTGGGAACCAGGGATTTGGGTAGTGAGCCTGCCAGACAGAACTTTGAAGGGTTGGGGCTGGGTCTCTGCCTTTGAGATCAGACCCTAGAAGCACTTCTGGGGTGAAGAAAAGAGGCTGCTGTGGGAGGGGGCGGGGACAGAGAGGGGGCAGAGGGAACGGAGCATGAGAAGGAGACCCGAGAGGGGCCCAGGAGTAGGGGCGTGGGGAGCAGGCCTCGCAGGAGGGGTTGTGAGAATTGGGCTGTGTGTGGGATGGGGAGAGGGACAATGTGAGGCTCCTGCCTTGGCTCAGACTTCGGAGGGGTAATGCCCCCCACTTCTTTTGTGAAGGAAGAGCTCACTGTGTGAACCACAGAATGATCCTGGACCATCTTGCCTGGGTGTTTGGGGGCATCACCGGCTTCACCTTCCTGCCCTGTCTCCCAGAGCTCCTTAGCCTGTGTCTCTGTACTAGGGAGGAGGTCCCAGGGCTGAAGTTGGAAGAGAGAATGACTAGGAAGGTTGTGAACCTGAGGGTAGACTGGGTAATAAGGCAGGGCCTGGGGATTCAGCTGGGCAGCTGTCGTCCTTGGTCCTCGGTCCTCACCTCTGCTGCCTCTCAGGGCCGGCCTGCCTGCTCTGGGATGCTCCTTCTGGGGCTGTGTCTGGGTCCAGTCCAGGCCCCCAAGGGCCCCCTTGCCTCTCCCTGCCCTTGCCCTGGGTGGGACCTGCCCCTCCCTTGTCTGTCTCTTGGCTGCACTGCAAGTTCTCAGAGGGCAGGGATGGTGTCCTGTTGAGTTATTCCCCCAGCGCTGGGCCAGGAGTCAGTCCTGGAAGCCGTTGTTGAACCTGTCTCTTGTTCTCTACCTGCTTCTCTCTGAATCTTTGTCTCTGTGGTCTCCTGCCTCTCCCTCTCCTCTAGCCCTCTCCTTATCTGTCTCTGCCTCTGCCCCATAATGCCTTCTGGCCTCGCTGCCTCTTTTTCTCTGTCATCTTTCCTGTGTCTGTGTGTCTGTCCCCCCTCTGCCACCCTCTTCTGTGTCTGCCTCACCCACGCCTCCTCCCTCGTTAGTGAGCAGGCTGCTTGAGGCTGCCTGACTGTGGGGGTGACAGGTGGATTGGATTGTCACCCCCTCCCCCAGCGCCTGCTGCTTATTTCATGCCCTGCAGCCCAGCCACAGGGAAGGGGCGGGAGGAGGGATGACAGCTGTCTCCAGCGCCTCCTGCCTTCCCCTCCAGTCCTCAGCCTGCAGCCCGGAGCAGCCTGGGAGGAAGAGATGAAGGGCCTGCCTAATGAGAGCTCCCTTTCTCACCATGAGGAAGAGCAGGTTGAGGCCCACTGCTCTGTGATGCGAGGCTGCTCACTCAGCTTCTCTGGGCATCTGCTCCCTTTTGACCTGTGCTGGTATGGGAGCTCTGGAAGCAGATGCCCTGTAGTTTCTTTGAGCCTTGGGACCACTAGGATGGGAACAGATATGGGTGGAAGGGTGTAGGGGAGAAGGACAGGTAGGTACTCCCCTGCCAAGAGCAAGAAAGAGAGGATAGAGGCTGGCTATCGGAAAGGAATTCCCCTGCAGCTCCATGGGAAGGACAGCCCTGCTCAGCCCTGCTGCAGCTGCAAGGAGGCTACCCTGACCTCTCCCCTTCACCGCTCTCCCCACTGGCCCCAGGCCACCTTCACACAGGAACTGAGATAGCATCATTCTGAAACCCGAGAATGGTTTGAATATTGCTCAGGTACCCAGAGGTGTTGCATTGGGGGAGGCAGGGACCTGTTTCTTCTCCCATGCCCCCTCCAAACCAGTCCTCCTTTACGGTACATTTTGCACATCATGTGTAGCTCATTTGCATGTAAACACAACCCACAAGTTCTAATTGGGTCGGTACCTGGGATTGGAAAAATGGCTATCAGTGGGGTCCTTCTTGATTCCCCCTGGTCCCCTCAGCTCTCTTTGTCAAGGGTGTTGTCAGAGGGGCCTCCTGCCCTGCATCCTCCCTGCTGTCCATTTGTGAAGGCTTCTCCTCAGCCACCCTTCTCCACAGTTGGTGAGTTTGTGCCTGTTTCCCTCTCTGGGCATCTGCTCCCTTTTGACCTGTGCTGGTATGGGAGCTTTGAAAGCAGATGCCCTGTAGTTTCTTTGAGCCTTGGGACCACTAGGATGGGAACAGATATGGGTGGGCATTGCCAAATGTCCTGCCCATCTTTGCTTCTCCCATGTCCACCAGGAAGGCCCTGCCTCTGCCTGTCCCAACCCCCTGCCACCCACAAGGTTCACTCCGCCCCACCCTTGTCCTGTCCACGGAGTCAGGTGAATCAGAGTCAATCAGCCAGAGCCTTGAGAGCCTTTGAAGGGGAACTTTTGGTGACATAGATACTGTCAGCCCGAGGAGTCATAGTTGTGGCCTGAGGTCAGGATTGGGCAGGCCCTGGGGCCATCAGAACAGGAAGGCCATCCTGGCCAACCCCCTGTCTCTTTGGTAGCCCAAGTCCTCCCAAGCCCTGGGCTCCAGATACTAGGCAGGGTGAAGGAGAGATGGTTAGAAGAGAAGCAGCCAAGGGCCGGATCATCTGCGAGGGCTTCCTAGAGGAGGAGTAGACCAGACAGGAGAAGAATGGGGCCAGGTGAGGCTGGAGAGGAGAGACTCACATCTGGAGAACAGATGCCCAGGCCTCTGGCTCCTGCCAGTTGGTTAGGTAATTAGGCAGAGGGCTAATTAAGGAGGTCCAGGTGTTCATTAAAACCTCCCTAATTGGGTAGGAGGGAAGTTTAGCTAGGATAGGCCTCCAAACCTTGGATAGGGTCAGGTTAGGGTATTTTGTGCCTGCCTAGGCCCCAGCTACCCCTTCTTCCAAAATCAGGGTTGAGTTCATGTTCTTGCCTCAGGGCTTTCAAAGACCCTGCAGCAATGTGGAATGGATAGCAGAAGGAAAAAAGGTCAGTATAGACTGCATCTGCTTTGTAGAGGGGTTTGTGGTTAGATGGGAGGAAGGACTGCCTAAGACAGGGGCATCTCCTCCTCTGGCAGTGTTGGCACAGAAGTGGGAGCAGCAGTGGGGAAAGGGGCCTGGGAAGCATGGAATTATAAAAAGTGCTTTGGGCTACCTTGGTAGGGAGTGGGGATAGATGGGGCCTAGTCTTTTTAACCCTGACTTCTCTCTGTCAGACGATGCTCAGTGAATCTCTGTTGCTTCCCTGCCTTCTCAGCCCTGATCCCTCTCTCGTCCCAGCTCCCCCAGCATGAGGCGGGGGTGGGGGGGGCGGTGTAGGAGATCAGCCAGGGAGCTGGTTGCCAGGCGACAGTTGCCTAAGCAACCCCATCCTCTCCATCTCCATGTGCTCAGGGCTGCTCCTTAGAAGACTTTAGAGTCTCACCCTCTGCACCAACCAACCTGAGGGTGGGGAGGGTTGAGGACTGGGATACCAGGGGTGGTTGGAGGGTAGGTGGTGTCCAAATCTTCAGGGGCAGTTGGGAGAGCAAGGGTTCTAGCTCCATAGAGGATAGAGTGAGAGGAACTGGTACTGCAGCAAGACTGTTGGAGGTTAGACTGCAAGAAGGACTTCTCACAGCACCACAACAATGAAATAGTATTTTCTTCTTTTCAACAGACATTTTCTCAGCTCCCTTCTTATAGGAGATAGAGTAGTGAAAAAGACAGATGTGATTCCTGCCCTCATGAAACTTTAGTCTCATAGAGGAGCCAGGCGTTAAATAGAAGCACAGAATCATAGTTATTCACAATTGTGATAAATGCTAGAAAGACTGCAAGAATGACTTTTCTGAGGGTCATGAGAACAAAGAGAGGCTTCTCTTCCAGTTTGGAGGAAGAGGCAGTATTGGTCATCAGCTGACAGAGGTTACATCTCTGCAAGAATTCGGTTATGAACTAAAGGTGGTGAGAGGGAGATAGTAAAGGGGAGAGAGGGAGGGTAGATGCTGTAAGCCAGAGGAGCTCAGCAGTTCCTGCATTTAACAGTCTAGATTGGGTTTTCAAGACTAGGCCAGAGAATCCCATTTAAAAAGCCAACTATTTGTAGCCCCCTCCCCTTGCCCTCTGTGTGCCCTCCCCTACCTTCCCTGCCAAAGCCCACACCACTGTAGCTCTAGAAAGCACAGTCTTTGGATTGCACTGGGAAGCAGGGGAGCTGAAATCCCTGGGCTGGAGCCTTTGCAATGGGAACTTGGCAGACACTGGGGTCACAGGTGAGGAATGGGGTGTCTGGAGCTGGTTTGGGGCTCAGGTGTCTGCTGGGCCACTCAGGGCTGGCTGGGCTGGTGTTGCTCTTGTCCCAGGGTACCAGTAGGAGGCCCAGGGCCCATGGAGCACGAGGTCGAGGTGGGTGGATCACAAGGTCAGGAGTTCGAGACCAACCTGTCCAACATGGTGAAATCCTGTCTGTACTGAAAATACAAAAGTTAGCCAGGTGTGGTGGCAGACACCTGTAATCCCAGCTACTTGGGAGGCCGAGGCAGGAGAATCGCTTGAACCCGGGAGGCAGAGGTTGCGGTGAGCCAAGATCACGCCACTGCACTCCAGCCTGGGTGACAGAGTGAGACTCTGTCTCACAAAAAAAAAGAAAAAAAAAGTCAAAAAAATTAGCTTGGCATGGTGGTACACACTCATGGTCCCAGCTACTTGGAAGGCCGAGGTAGGAGGATCACTTAAGCCCAGGAGTTTGAACCAGCCTAAGCAACAAAGCAACACCCTGTATCTACCAAAAAAAAAAAAAAGAAATTATTAATAAATTACCTGGGTGTGGTGGCATACACCTGTATTCTCATCTACTTGGGAGGCTGAGGCTGGAAGGTTGAAGCTGCAGTGAGCTGTGATTTGTACACTCCAGCCTGGACAACAGAGCAAGACCCTATCTTAAAAAACAACAACCACCACCAAAAAAAAAAAAAAAAAAGAAGAAGGAGAAGGGTAGGGAGTCGTTTGAAGCGCAATGCATTTATCTGCATTGTTTTCTGTAGATATCCAGGCAAAGCAGAAGCTCTCCAGCTAGGCTGGGGAGCAGTCTTGGTAATGGGATGGGGCCAGTATCCCAGCTCCTCCCAAATTGATAGATTCCTTGCCTTCCCTCTCCTCCTTCCCTCATGAGCAAGAGACCAAGGCTGAACTTTAGCATCTACTGTGGTACCGTAGGGGCCATGTAGAGTTGGGCTGGAAAGGCTCCAGGGAAACTCAGCAGCCATTGGCAGTGGGAGCTGGGGGGTAGGGGTAAGAGTTGTTCTCTGTCATCAAACACCTCTCCCCAGGTAGTGTGCAGTGGGTGCAGAGGATCAGACAGTGGCTGGGGGTCTACATCCCTAGACTCTACAGTAGGGTCTCTGGGCATGGGGCTCTATGGAAGGGGAGCTCTGGAGGGGAGGGCGGGCCTTCTCTGGTCCAGGCTCCTCCCAGGACCCAAATAGAGTGGCTTTAGAAAGCATGGGCCCCAGTTCACTATCCTCTTCCAACATCTTCCAGAAAGCTCCACTTTTGATGCAAGGACTCCTGGAATCAGAGCTAGAGGGGGCCCTGAAGTCATTCCGTGCCTCCGTCCCATCTTGGGCCCTTCCAGTCCCCAAGGACTCACCCAGCCTATGTAGGCACTGCCCATACCGGAGAGAATGCGCCTTTTCTGGCCCAGGCTGTGCTGCCATCCTTGAGCCCCCTCTTATCCTATGGTGCCTCCTGGAGTTGTTCAGTGCAGGGGCTGTTTCTCATCCTGGCTTTAGCATGGAGCTGTTCAACTAGTGGGCTGTGAGGGGGTTACAGGTGTCCTGAGACAGCAGGTTCTCTGCCTGGTGCCTGCATCCGCCTGGCTGCCAGTGGCCTCCCCAGTGTATGTCATTTGTTCCTGTATTTTCTCTGTCTGCTTCAAGATGTACAAGGTTGGGAAGCACTACTCTTAGACTGAGCTTGGGTTCTAGATGTGGTCCATACCTCTAGGGCAGGAATCAGCAAACTATGGCCCGTGGACCAAATCTGGCCCATGCCCATTTTTGTAAATATAGTTGTATTGGATCACAGCCATGCTTACACTCATTCGTTTATGTGTTGCTGTCTGTTGCTTTCATGGTACAGTGACAGAGTTGAGTAGTTACAACAGAGACTGTATGGTCTGCAAAGCCTGAAATATTACTATCTGGCCCAAAAATTTCCATCTCCTGGTCTAGAGGAATGGTTTCATTGTTTTAAGCAGCACAACTCTTTCCTCAAACAAAAATCTTAGGCTGGGCATGTCCAAAGGTAGTGAGTTAGCTCAATTGATTGTTCACAGTCAGTTACAGATCGAACTCCTTGTTCTACTCTTTCTTCTCTTCTCACTACTGCACTTGACTAGGCTTATAAAAATAAAAAGAAACCTTAGGCTTAAGCTCACTGAGTAAAACAGATTAGTGTGGAGGAACTCTAGTTGAAGGGAGATGTGGGTGCTACAACCCCAAGCCCCACTACAGGACTCCAGGCCCCAGAGTTCCATGAGTCGGTATGAGGCCCACTGCTCTAGACCTGCTCTGGTATGTTCTTGAGCCAGGGGCACCAGAGACATCCCATCCTGGCACCAGGTATACCATGCTTGTTGTTCACTGACTGGGCAGATGTCCTCTCAGCGTTGTCTCTTCTCCAAGCTTCAGAATGGGAACCATAGTTCTAGGCCAGAGGAGCAGCTGGAGCACCCAGGTGTCTATAGTACAAGCAGGTTCTAGAGAGAAGAATGGGCCATGGGATATTCTCTGAGACCCAGACCTTGGAAGCCAGGAGGTCCATTTACTCTGTCCTGGAGCCTGAGGACAGCAGTGACCGAGGGGAAAGAGTCTGGGCCTTGGTGTGAGCTCCAGCTTGTGCCTGGCTGTGGCATACCATTGCCTCAGGCAGACAGCATTGCCTCATGTTGAGGGTGGAGCTCAGATGCTGCCAGCCTCTCACAGGGGCGCTGTGAGTCTGGCCTGTGTGCCCAGGGAGCAGGGCTGGGGGTTTTGGGGGCTCAGAGACCTCTCATGACCCTCCCTTTCCAGGAGGCTGTGCAGAAGGTATCCTGCAGACCATGAACTGAGCACTGTTCCCAGACCGTTCATGAGCACAGTGTAAGGTGTGCCGAGACCCACCACCCAGCGAGCCCCTCCCCTCCGTAGCACTGAGGACCCCCGGAGAAGATGGGGAGGAAAAAGATTCAGATCCAGCGAATCACCGACGAGCGGAACCGACAGGTAGGGAAGTCCTAGAGCCGTACGAAGTGGGTGAGGGCAGGGAGCAGGCCTCTGCCTCTACTCCCTTCAGGCATTCCAAGAGGGCTTTGTGGAAGAGGGGAAACTATAAGCTATTACAGAAGGGGAAGGGAGATTGGGAGAAGAGGAACCCCAACCTCTTCGCAGCTCTTGGAGCTCTGCGTCCCTGGACTCCAGGACTCTTCTGCTGCCACAGCTAGATGAGCCCATGTTCCCATCCCAGAGCCATTTGCAAGCCTTAGGTCATACCCCCAGGCACTCCTCCTTTCCCAACAGGAATCCTCTCCCTCTTCTTCTCCACTGACCTCTTCATAGCCTCCAGCACAGAGGTGTGGAGTTCTGTCCACCTGAATCCTGCCCCTTCAGTGAGTGGGCTCTGGGCTGTATCTAAGCTGTGTGTTGGCCTACAGGCACTAGCCTGGTCCTTCCCCAAACCAGGGACTCCTGAGACCAGGGGCTGTGTCACACTGAGAATGGGGGCTCCTGAGGGCAGGGGCTATGTCCAGCCATCTGTAGGCTGGGACTCCCAATCAGGCCTTAACTGAGCCAGATCTGGCCGCCCACCCATCCTTCTCTGCAGGTGACTTTCACCAAGCGGAAGTTTGGCCTGATGAAGAAGGCGTATGAGCTGAGCGTGCTATGTGACTGCGAGATCGCACTCATCATCTTCAACCACTCCAACAAGCTGTTCCAGTACGCCAGCACCGACATGGACAAGGTGCTGCTCAAGTACACGGAGTACAATGAGCCACACGAGAGCCGCACCAACGCCGACATCATCGAGGTGGGCCCATACACACAGGCACCAGGATATACCCCCGCCTGCATCCACATGGACACGTGCCCACGTTGCATGTACACGCAGACCTGCCTATGCACACACACTGGTATACATGCCCCTTGTAGCCCCTCACCTGTGCGCACACACATGCAAACCCTCCTTCTGTCATACAAACCCAGGGTCTGAGGAGGAAGGAAGGGCAGTTCAAGTGAACAGGCCAGTGCCAGGCTGCCAGCCCACACCCACCCTGCCCTCTCCAAGAGTCTGCTGTCGTCCAGTGTGATGTAACATCTCTATCCTGCCTTCTTGCATCCTGTCTTTCTCTTTGTCTCTCTTTCCCCGCTTCTCCATCTTCTGGTGTGCTCCTGCACCTGCCTCTTCCTTTTTTAAATCTCCCTCTTTGTTTCCATCTCTCCTGCTGTCTCTGTCTGTTTGTGGGCCCGGTAGTTCTATTTTCTGTTTCAAAGAGAGCCAACATTGTGAACTGTTGAAGGACATGAGCTTTGGAATTCAGTTCTGACCTTTACCGGCCACATGGCCTTGGGCAGGTGCTTAGGCTTTCCCGAGCCTTGGTGCCCACCTCCACAAAATGGGGTCAGTGCCTGCTTTGAAGGGTGCTGTGTGAATTGAATGTCCCTGCTTCTCACACTGAGGTGCGTGCACCTTGGGGATACAGAACTTGTGCTGACGAAGAGGGTGCCCGGGAAGCCACAGGCCTACTCAGAGATTTGGAGGAAAGTCCCTTATTTTTATGTTAGAGAAGACAGATTTACTCTAGACTAGAAGGTAAAATTTGCATTCATTTTAAAGACAAAGCAAGTATCTGTAAAGCTATTTTGAGCATGAAGAGGGCAGCTTTGGGGTCTACTGCAGATCCCCCAGATGTGCCTCCACTAGAATGTAGGGTGGTCACAGTAGGGACTCAGTCAGTGTTCATCCCCCTTTCCTTTTCCACATCCCATTCCCCGCTCTCTCTGTCTCCATCTCTATTTCTCTCTTCCTCCTATTCTCCTAAGCAGAGCCCAGGGACTGGGAGCAGAGCCCCCCTGCCTACCTCCCCCTGGAGAACTCAGTGCCTTCTGGTCAGGGCTTACCACAGGGTGGTCGGGCAGGGACTGATCCATGGCACCAGCTCCTTAGCCCATCCCCTGGAGGCCCCATCCCCTGGAAGCCCCTTCCCTGCCTGTCACTTTGGAAGTACATGTCTCCCTGCCAAGTGCACCCCCAGGTTAGGCTCACCTTCCAGCCTTGTTCTCTGTGTTCCGACAGCTCCCACCAAGCCCATCTTCAGATCTTCACACGATGCCCCAGGAGGCACTGTCAGTGGGGAGGGGCCAGGGAGATGCTGGGAACCCTGAAGAAGGAGGTCGGGGAAGAGTAGGGGGCCCTTAGGGAGGGGCTGGAAGGAACTCCAGCGAGGCGGGCGGGAAGGACTCTCACCCAGCTGATGGCAGTGGTGCGGTTACAGACCCTGAGGAAGAAGGGCTTCAACGGCTGCGACAGCCCCGAGCCCGACGGGGAGGACTCGCTGGAACAGAGCCCCCTGCTGGAGGACAAGTACCGACGCGCCAGCGAGGAGCTCGACGGGCTCTTCCGGCGCTATGGGGTGAGCCCCACTCACTCTGTCTCTGTTGGCCCCCCCTTCCGGCCCCTTCCCCCCAGGCGCTGCACAAGAAGCACAGGGAATGTGAGAGCCCTGAGGTGGACGAGGTGTTTGCCCTGACCCCCCAGACGGAAGAGAAATATAAAAAGATAGACGAGGAGTTTGATAAAATGATGCAGAGTTATAGACTGGCCGTGAGTAGTCGCATGGAGCAGAGCCTCCCTGTGGTGCATGGTGTGGCTTCGCGCCCTGGCTCTCGGCTGCCCTGATGGGTGCTCCGCTCTGAGCCATGCTCGGGTTCTTAGTGACCACTGAGGAACCTCTGACCTTGGTCATGATAAACCCGCATCCCTGCTGAGACTCTACTGGGATGGAGCATAAGTTGGAGAGGCCTGGAGTGTCCCCCTCTCCAGCAAGAAGTGTGTAGATGACATGAGATCCTTAGAGGACAGCAAAGTGGAGTGTGCTCTTTGTCCAGATGTTTTTTTGGGGGGAGAGGCCTGCTTGGGCTTGCTCTGATAGCCCAACCAGAGACACTCAGCCTTGTGTAGGGAAAGCAGAACTGCTGAAGGGGAAGGCAGCGAGGTGGGGGTGAGCTCTCTCTGCAGCAGGCCAGATGGGTGGAGACTGCAAGTGAAATGATGTCCCTACCCGTGGTGCAAGCCTTTAACAGCCGTGTGTGAATTTGAGTCTGTTATCAGGGCCTCTAACCTGCTCCCCGTGTGTCCTGCCTGGCTGAGGACTAACCCACCTCCACTAGGGGGTGTCCCTGGTCCTGTCTGCAGTGAGCAGAGCCTTGTTCTCATTCTGTGGGCCAGAAATGGACCCAGAGTATGGACCCAGAGTTTCTCCCCAAAGTTCTTCCTTGGTGGGACTGGCAGGCAGGACTCCACAAGGGCACAGGGCAGGGAGCTTGAACTGCTGGCCCTAGGATGCGTAGCCCAGAAATGAGAAGAACCCTTGCCTGCCCTCCCAGGAAAAGTGGACTCCATGGAAGGGGTCAACCTGGCCTGATCCTGCCCCTCCATCTTTCTGTCTAGTCAACTGTCCCGGCCCCCAACTTTGCCATGCCTGTCACGGTGCCCGTGTCCAATCAGAGCTCACTGCAGTTCAGCAATCCCAGCGGCTCCCTGGTCACCCCTTCCCTGGTGACATCATCCCTCACGGACCCGCGGCTCCTGTCCCCCCAGCAGCCAGCACTACAGAGGAACAGTGTGTCTCCTGGCCTGCCCCAGCGGCCAGCTAGTGCGGGTGAGTGGGCTGGCAGGTGGGTAGGTGAGGTGGAAATGAGATGTGATGGGGACTTTGGGATTCCATTTTCAACAGCAAGTATTTCTCTTCACCCACCACAGCATTCCGCCATTTGTATGGCTCCTGAGGGAAGGGAGTATGACTCTTCCTCCTGGGGTCCCCTCTTCATGTTCAGTCCCCAAGACTCACTCTTGAAGCGGGAGTGTTGTCAGCTCATCCTGGTTCTGTTTTTCCTCCAGGGGCCATGCTGGGGGGTGACCTGAACAGTGCTAACGGAGCCTGCCCCAGCCCTGTTGGTGAGTGCAGTCATCCTTCTACCTGGAGGTGGGGAGGGGTGCCCGCTCAGTGGCCTCAGGGGGTCCAAGGATCAGGAACGACCTAGATGAGAGGAGAGGAAGATCCCAGGGCCAGGACTGGATGAAGAGTCAGTCAGAGATTTTTAAGCCCCTGGATTTTGTTTTCTGTAGCAATGATTGGTGTAGATGATCAGCAGAGATGGAGGCTCAGGGAATTCTGGGCAAACTGTGAGAATGGGCCAGCATTTCTAGTTGGAAGGGAAGACCCAAGTTTTTGCAGTTGAGTGTGGTTGGGATCTGGAGGATGAGAATGCCGGGCGTTCCCTAGACAAACAACAGGGACAGACTCACATAGACACTCACGCAGGCACTCAACACACATAAGTGCATTCTCCCTCTTACAGAAGTATCCAGATGTTAGATGTGCATTTGTGAGCACACATACATAAGCCACAGAAGAGGCCGGGCATGGTGGCTCACGCCTGTAAACCCAGCACTTTGGGAGGCTGAGATGGGCGGATCACCTGAGGTCGGGAGTTTGAGACCAGCCTGACAAACATGGAGAAACCCCATCTCTACTAAAAATACAAAATTAGCCGGGTGTGGTGGCTCATGCCTGTAGTCCCAGCTACTCAGGAGGCTGAGGCAGGAGAATCGCTTAAACTCAGGAGGCAGAGGTTGTGGTGAACTGAGATCATGCCATTGCACTCCAGCCCGGGCAACAGGAGCGAAACTCCGTCTCAAAAAATAAAAAAATAAGCCACAGAAGAAAGGCTGCCCCCCAACCCCTGGCAGCGGACAGCCCCTCCTACCCTGTGCCATTGTCTGGCTGGGTGACTGTGACTTCGAATGTCACGATTGACGTCACCCTGACATTCCTGCCATTCCCAGAGTGGTCCGGGAATTGGGATGGAGGCAGGCACACACTTCCAGGGCAACAGCATGCTCTTAGGGGACAGAGCAAGGAAGCATTTCTGACTGTGGTCACTCTCACATCCTTGGACCTCAGCATCCCCCAGCTCAGTTTTGGGGCACTGTATAATACCTCCCTGGTGATAATTATGTCACAGGGTCAGGAAATTAAAGGGGTGGGTGAATATGTCACCCTCTTCAAGGAGAAGGCCAGAGAAATGCTTGTAGACCTCAAGTGAGCAGTGATCCATAGAGGCCCTTGAGTCCAGCATGTGGAAAGTGGGAGAGAGCCCTCACTTGGCCTCCAGCCAGCTGTGTGGCCCTGGGCAGGTCATTACACTTCTCCCAAGCAGGCTCTAGTTTCCTCTTCTGTGAACAGGGCTAATGTCCTGTCTGTCTTGCAGAGTTAATGTGAGGATTAAATAAGATAATACATGTGTGAAAGGCCTGTGTGGATTGTAGAATATGGAGCAGATATAAAAGATAGTTATTACATTTGTTATTACCAGGCTAATTATGGTGGTGGCTGTGTTATGTGTCTCCCAGTGCCAATAACACCATCACCAACAGTGAATGGCTTGTTTCTCCCAAGCTGTGGGCAACTTGTCACATGTTGATCCAAATCACATCATCCACCCCCAGCTCACGGCAAATGGAGCAGTCTGAGTGGTTGTTGGTTTGTCATGGTGACCAGGCTTCTCAGTGAGGCCCGGATTCCAGGCTGCCACCCCTTCCACATCCTGGTCATGGTGGGTCCTGTCCGGGGTAGACTGTGGGACCTAAAAATGCTGGACTTCCTGTCTGTGGAGACTAAAGTAGAGAGAAGACAGGGAGAGGCTTGGGTACAGAAGAACCTCTTGGCCGTCGCAGAGCCTAGAGGCAATGGCTGCTTTCCAGTTCTTCCCACTGACTTCAGAGTCCCATCACCAAGCCCTATCACATGTAGCTTGGAGTTAGGGGAACGAACCTAAAGATTCAGGAGTAAGGGGTACTTGCCTCCCATTATTCTCAAGACATGAAGTGTTCAGGGAATATCAGATAGCTCAGCCCCCACTCAAAGCCTAAGCATGGCTTTGAGAGGTTCCGGGTAACAGGAGTATTGGTGTGGGGAAGTTAATAGGGCTGAAGGATAGGCCCATGTTTTTCCTTTTACCCTCTTGTTGTCACTTCTCCAGGGAATGGCTACGTCAGTGCTCGGGCTTCCCCTGGCCTCCTCCCTGTGGCCAATGGCAACAGCCTAAACAAGGTCATCCCTGCCAAGTCTCCACCCCCACCTACCCACAGCACCCAGCTTGGAGCCCCCAGCCGCAAGCCCGACCTGCGAGTCATCACTTCCCAGGCAGGAAAGGGGTTAATGCATCACTTGGTAAGTGGGTGTCTGGGCCAAGGGTGGGGGCTGGGGAATGGAAGAGTAGGGACAGGGGAAAGAGCAGACCTCTAGCAGGAGAGATGAAGGCTAGCCAGCAGTTAGGACTTCCCAAGATAAATCTTGGAACCATGGCTTTTTATGAGATTTTTCTTCCCAGAGGGCCTTTTAAGAGGTTGCAGCACAAGAAGTACCAGCCTAAGGCAGTAAAAAGGGGCAGGAGGTGAGAGAGAAGTGGTGGGGAGGATCATAGAAAGGATTTGCCACTATAGCAGGAGGGATGGGGATTAGATGGTGAGCATTTCCTCACTGGTGGAGATTGGGATGGAGCATCTCTGGAAATGAGTCAGGACGGTGGAGAGCTCTGCCTTTGTAGGCTGGGTAGAGCCACCCTACTCTTATGCAGAGAGGTGACTGGAACAGCTGTGGGGACAGAGGTGTGGGGGAGGGCAGCGGCCAGAGACTGAACATCCCCTTGGTTTTATTTCTGCTCTCAGACTGAGGACCATTTAGATCTGGTAAGTGAGGCTGTGAGCTCTTTGCTGTGGCTTTGAATTCTGGGTATTGCTCTGCGGTCCCCCAGCATGAAGTACGTGTGCGTCCTTGGCCTCTCGCCTGTGCGTGAACTGTTGCTGTTTCTTTGCTTAGTTGCCAGGAGCTGTGCTTAGGTGCCAAGTGGGATTCAAAGGTGAATGGGGTGGGGGTGAGAGGTCAGACGTGTGTGTGTGTGCCTGTGTGTACATGAATGTCTGCATGTGGTATTATGTTCATTCAGACACACCTTTCTCTGTATGTACGTGTGCGAGGGGGAGTGGGCCAGCCCAGGGCTCAGAGGTCCCACCCTGATGCCTGGACTAGGCCCTGGACTAGGGGGCTGGATCCCACTAGTCCTCTGACTCCACTCAGGCCCACACTGCATTCTTGGGATCCAGGACAGGATCCTTCTTAGGAGGGAGGTCAGCTGGAAGGAGAAGCTGGTGTTTCAGGGGAAGCCAAGGCCCAGGCCCAGGCTGGACTTGTCCTTCTTGGTGGCAGCTTCCCACCTCCCCTGTCTCCCTGTGCTCCCTCCTGAACTTAAGTCCATGACACGGGCACTCAGAGGCATGCACAGCTGCTCATTTTCCTCCTCTGTCTCACACACTTACATACTCACCCCCAGCCAGGAGTGGGGCGGGGGCTCCTCCCTCCCTAACTCCCTGACGGGAGGCCAGAGAGGCTGGAAAAGGCAGGCAGGCTTTGGCGGCCAACACGGCGGCAGTTTCGGCCCCAGCATGGAGTTGGAATAAACAAGTGACTCAGCGGCAGATGGAGCTGACAGCCCCACACACGTGTGTGCATACGCGCAGGCACACGCCACGCCAGGCCCCACATTCCCCTCGCAGATGCCAGCACGCCTCTGCCGGGGCGTGTGCTGCAGTGTGATGGATGGAGAGTGGGCTCCAGAGAGACAGGGGATGGACGATGTCTCCCTTCCCTCACTCTGCACTGGGAGGCTGGGCGAGTGTTGGTGCTGGGGCCACAGGGCCAGTACACGTGCCTTCATCTTTGCACGTGTGTTGGTGTCAGTGAATCTGTGTGTGCATGTTTCCCTCCATGGATCTGAGTGTCTCTGTGAATGCACCAACGTGTGTTTGTATATCTGTGGGGGCCTCCGTGCTAAGGCACCCCGCCTTGGCTTTGGGATTCAGGAACCCCACCTTGGCCTTGGGATGGAGGGCCAACATAAAGCTGCCCACCTGTCAGCCACCTCCTGACGGACAGTTTTCTCCTACAGAACAATGCCCAGCGCCTTGGGGTCTCCCAGTCTACTCATTCGCTCACCACCCCAGTGGTTTCTGTGGCAACGCCGAGTTTACTCAGCCAGGGCCTCCCCTTCTCTTCCATGCCCACTGCCTACAACACAGGTGAGTGTTCATGTGACATGTGCATGTGTGCACTTGGGCTTGGGGCAGGCAAGTGACCAGACAGAAATGCTAGTTATCCCCTGGACAGGCCACATCTGAGGAGGGCTACTGATTTGGGGGAACCCCCACCTACTTATGGTTAACAGGTTTAGCAAATAAAAGCACAGAATGCTTTTAAATTTGAATTTCAGATAAAACAAGTAGTTTTTTAGTACAGATATGTCCCAAAGACATTCTTCTGCTAATGTATGTCCCAAAGACATATTTTATTTTTGGGTTTGTTTTTTTTTTCTTTTTTGGAACAGGGTTTCACTCTGTCACCCAGACTGGAGTACAGTGGTGCCATCCTAGCTCACTACAGCCTTGAACTCCTGGGCTCAAGTGATCCTCCTGCCTCAGCCTCCTGAGTAGCTGGGACTACAGGCACATGCCTTCATGCCTGGCTCTTTTTACATTTTTTTTGTACAGACAAGGTCTCTCTGTTGCCCAGGCTAGTCTCAAATTCCTGGTCTCAAGCAGTCCTCCTGCCTCAGTCTCCCAAAGTGCTGTGTTACCGACTGTGCCCAGCACCAAAGACATACTCATGCTAACAAATTATGTATTGTTTCATCTGAAATTCAAATTTAACTAGGCATTGGTTTTTGTTGTTTTTGTTTTTTTGAGGTAGTCTCACTCTTGTCACCTAGGTTGGAGTGCAGTGTTATGACCTTGGCTCACTGCAACCTCTTCTTCCTGGGTTCAGGTGATTCTCATGCCTCAGCCTCCTGAGTAGCTGGGATTACAGGCATGCGCCACCATGCCCAGCTAATTTTTGTATCTTTAGTAGAGATAGGTTTTTGCCATGTTGCCTGGGCTGGTCTCAAACTCCTGAGTTCAAGTGATCCACCAAAGTGCTGGGATTACAGGCATGAGCCACTGTGCCTGGCCAGCATTGTTTATTTTTTAAAAAGTACTTAATGGAGGAGGGAGCCCCTGTCCTCAGAAAGCCTGCAGCCTGAGGACGAGACAGGACAGAGGCAGGTCTGCAGATCATTCAGGCTGACCAATCTCTAGGCTGCAGGTATGGGGAGTGGTGAGGGGGACGTGGTCAGTTCAGAAAAGCTTCCTGGAAGAGAATGAAGGAATAAGAGAAAAGAGACAAGGAGGCTGAGGAGGCCAGAGAGAAAGCACAGTCAGGGTCAGTTTGCTAGCTTCCTGGGAAAGCCAAATGGGGGCTCCAGGGCAAGGCGGAGGGGGAAGAACAGCGTCTCTCCTCTAGTTTTGGCATGGTGGTGGAATGATGATTGGGGAAGGAAGAAGAGGGAAGAAGGTTAGAGAGGGGATCTGAAGGTAAAGAGCCACTTAAGGACATGAGAAAGGTCTCTGGATAGAAGAATTCAGATAGGACACCCAGTGCGCGGGCTGTCCTGGGTCCCTAGGGCCATCCTGGCCTGTGTCACCCACCCACTCACACCTGCGCAGGAACAGTCTGTGATACTCTCAGCCATCCTTGCCTGTATGCTAAGCCACTGTGTCAAGAAGGACTTGCCAGTAAGGAAACGCCTTGTCCCCTTGTTTCAGAGCATTCATGTGGCTGGGGAACCTGGGCTATTTCCAGCTAGAGACCTCTGCCTTCCTCAGGTTCTCTCACATGTGAATGGTTATGTCAGGCCAGTTCCTTTGATGAGTTTAGTCTGGACCAAAAGACTCATAAACTTCTCCCCCTTCCCCAAGCCTCCCAGAGTTGAACCAGCCACCAGTGCAAATAACCACAAAATCCCACCTCCTCCCCACATGTAAAAATCCAGAACCCAGGCCAGGCGTGGTGGCTCACATCTGTAATCCCAGCACTTTGGGAGGCTGAGGCAGGAGGATCACGAGGTCAAGAGATCGAGACCATCCTAGCCACATGGTGAAACCCCATCTCTACTAAAAATACAAAAATCAACTGGGTGTAGTGGCACGTACCTGTAGTCCCAGCTGCTCTGGAGGCAGAGGCAGGAGAATCACTTGAATCCGGGAGGCAGAGGTTGCCATGAGCCGAGATTGCACCACTGCACTTCAGCCTGGTGACAGAGCGAGACTCCCTCTCAAAAAAAAAAAAGTTCAAACATAAAAAGGCTGGGCGCAATGGCTCACGCCTGTAATCTCAGCACTTTGGGAGGCCGAGGCAGGCGGATCACGAGGTCAGGAGATCGAGACCATCCTGGCTAACACAGTGAAACCCTGTCTCTACTAAAAATACAGAAAATTAAGCGGGATGTAGTGGCATGTGCCTGTAATCCCAGCTACTCGGGAGGCTGAGGCAGGAGAATCACTTGAACTTGGGAGGCAGAGGTTGCAGTGAGCCAAGATCACGCCACTGCACTCCAGCCTGGGCAACAGTGAGACTCCATCTCAAAAAAAAAAAAAATTAGCCGGGCGTGGTGGCACACGCCTGTAGTCCCAGCTACTTGGGAGGCTGAGGCAGGAGAATTGCTTGAACCTGGGAGGTGGAGGTTGCGGTGAGCCGAGGTTGCACCACTGCACTCCAGCCTGGGCAACAGAGCGAGACTTTTGTCTCAAAAAAAGGGAAAAAAAAGAAAAATCCAGAACCCAGCCCTCTGTGTAGGAAAGCCCCTCGTGGCAGGTTAAGAGAGCTGGAGGGACCGCCTCATGTTGAGGGACCAGACTCTGGCTTGTGTGTCTGTGTGTAGTTACCACCCAGGTGTCTTTGAGCCCCTTCTCCCTTGCATGTGCACCCATGTGTGTGCCCAGCCCCAGGCTACGATGTCCTGGCAACTTCACAGATGGCTGCTTCAGAAGACACACGCTGTGGGCCCGTCTCCCCATCTGTAAGAGGAGTGGGTAGACAGGAGGTCTATGAGGCTTTTCCAGCCCTGCCACTGGGCCTCTGGGGCCCAACCAGAAAAACCAGCCCTGAGGGTGGGGTGGCCTGGGGACAGGGACAGTTGGCGGAGGGCAGCTCAGACCACTTTTTAGACCACTTTTCTGGAGCTGTTTATCAGGTACTCTGTGAGGGTGGTTTTCTGTTTTTCTGCCATCTTGTTGGGCCCACAGTCTTTTGTGAAGCAGGAGGAAAGTTAGTTGGTGTCAGCCAACCTGGGACAGGCACTCAGGAAGGCTAGACTTAAAGATTCTCATCTGTCACTCTGGCATGAAAGCAGTTTCTGCCCCTGGGCCGCCCTTGGAGCCCTGCTGGGAAGTGTGTGAGATTTCTCATCTCCTCTCAGAGACCACAGGCTCCCTTTCCTCTTGTTACAGGAGCAGCTAAGCAGATCTCAGTTTAAACAGCAGGTGTTTTCAGGTGACCCTAGGTGTGTAAACAAAACCCCAGTGAACACATTGCTGTTTAGTTGTTCACTGTTTACAGTCCTTGGCTGCAGTTCAAGTTCCGGCTGGGGGTAATCGGGCTATGGTAATGCCTCATGTGAGGGCCTGGCCCCTTGTTGACACTGGCCGCAGAGGCCTGGCTGTGGTGGCTCTGGGAGCAGACCAGTAGGCTGCCAGGTGGCCTTGGGCCATGGTCCTCCTTGGGGAGCCAAGCCTCCCAGTAGTAGATAGGGCTGGAATCTGGTGGAACAGTGCAGGGCTGGGAGCTAGTCTCCATCACTCACTCACTGAGGGGCCTTGGGCAAGGCACTGTACTGTTCTGGGCTTGGCTTCCTAGTTTGTACAAGTGTTAGAAATAGTTGATTCTGGCCGGGCGCGGTGGCTCACACCTGTAATCCCAGCATATTGGGAGGCCAGGGTGGGCAGATCACGAGGTCAGGAGTTCAAGACCAGCCTGACCAACGTGGTAAAACCCCGTCTCTACTAAAAATACAAAAATTAGCTGGGCGTGATGGTGTGCGCCTATAATCCCAGCTACTCGGGAAGCTGAGGTAGGAAAAGCGCTTGAACCTGGGAGGCAGAGGTTGCGGTGAGCCGAGATCACGCCAGCTACTCAGGAGGTTGAGGCAGGAGAATTGCTTGAACCTGGGAGGTGGAGGCTGCAATGAGTGGAGATCGCACCACTGCACTCCAGTCTGGGCAACAGAGCGAGACTCTGTCTCAAAAAAGAAAAGAAAAGAAATAGTTGATCCTAGGGCCCGTTTCTGCCCTTGCTCTGCTTTTTTAATAAGCATTTCAAAACTCCTGACCAACGTTAGGAGACTAGAGCCAAGCACAGATCCCCCTCTAGAGAGATTTAAAGGTAATAGAGTCCTGGGGTCCTGTCTTAGCTCTGCCGCTGGCTTTCTCCATGACTTGGAGCCTGTTCCTCAAACTTGAGGCTGCAGTTGCCTCATTTGTAAAGTAATAATAGATAAATCTTTTGATTATTTTCTATGAACCAGATACTGTTCTACATGCTTTTTGTGTATTAACTTGCTCAGTCCTCACAACAGCTGTGTGATGTAGGTAGGATTATTACCTCCAGTTTATAGGCAGAGTAAGTAACTTACCCAAGGTCACATGGCCTAAGTGGAGGTAGCCTGGAAGTTTGACCTCATAGCTCATGCCTTTAACCTTATTGCTATATTGCAGAGATAATACTGTCTTCCCTGCATAAAAACAAAGGGCTGGAGCAAATGACTCCCTGAGTAATAGCATACTGGTGGGGTATTGGGATGATTGAGGGGTGCGTTCCCTATCACAGCACTCCCACTACCACAGTACAGCCTCAGGGAGGACATTTTCTTTCTTTCTTTCTTTCTTTTTTTTTTTTTTGAAACAGAGTCTCGCTCTGTTGCCCAGGCTGGAGTGCAGTGGTGCGATCTCCACTCATTGCAGCCTCCACCTCCCAGGTTCAAGCAATTCTCCTGCCTCAACCTCCCTAGTAGCTGGGATTACAGGTGCGCGCCACCGCCTGGCTAATTTTTTGTATTTTTAATAGAGATGGGGTTTCACCATGTTGGCCAGGCTAATCTTGAACTAGGGAGGACATTTTCTAAACTGTCCCAAACAGGATACAGCATGAAACAATAGTGCTGTGTAAATCATGAAACATTCAGTGATTCTATTTATTCTGTGACAGTGCAACCATCAGTTTCTTCTTTAAGGTAGACATTTTATGACGTAATGAACACCCCCTCATGGGGAGATCTGCTGGAACCTTGGCCAGCTGTGCTCCCGGCATGGTACCCTTGCAGCCCCTCTGCCCCTTGGGCATGAGGCCAAGACATAGACCTTCTCTACTTATCTGTTTCCATCTTTTTATTTTTTTAAATTGTTATGAAAGTGATACCTACACATGATTTTTTTTTTCTTTTTGAGACAAGATCCCACAGGCTGGAGTGCAGTGGCATGATCATAGCTCACTGCAGCCTCAACCTCCCAGGTTCAAGCAAGTCTCCTGCCTCAGCCCCCTGAATAACTGGAACTACAGTGCACCCCACCACCCTAGCTAATTTTTAAGCTATTTGTAGAGATGGAGTCTCCTTATGTTGCCCAGTCTGGTCTCAAACTCTGGGCTCAAGTGGTCCTTCTGCCTTGACCTCTCAAAGTGCTGGGATTATAGACATGAGCCACTCGCCCAGCTGTTTTTTTTTTTTTTTTTAAGTTCAACACTATTTTTAAAAACCACCTCTTGGTCGGATGCGGTGGCTCATGCCTGTAATCCCAGCACTTTGGGAGGCCGAGGTGGGCGAATCACTTGAGGTCAGGAGTTTGAGACCAGCCTTGCCAGCATAGCAAAACCCCATCTCTACTAAAAATACAAAAATTAGCTGGGCGTGGTGGCATGTGCCTGTAATCCCAGCCATTTAGGAGGCCGAGGCAGGAGATTTGCTTGAACGTGGGAGGCAGAGGTTGTAGTGAGCCAAGATCACACCACTGCACTCCAGCCTGGGCAATAGAGTGAGACTCCATCTCAAAAAAACAAAACAAAACAAAAACCACATCTTTTCATCCTGTTAAAACACAGCACCTCATGGTTATTATGACTTAGGTTTCTTTAACTCTGAGTACCGTCTTCACTGAATTTTTGTGGTCTTCTTGAATTCCTTACATCTGTCATTACACACTCCCTGTCCCCTCATCCCCACAGTCCTCCTGGAGGCAGCTCCCTCATAGGAGCCTGTGTGCTCTCCCCAACTCCAGGTTCATCCTCACTTTTCCTCCATGCAGATTACCAGTTGACCAGTGCAGAGCTCTCCTCCTTACCAGCCTTTAGTTCACCTGGGGGGCTGTCGCTAGGCAATGTCACTGCCTGGCAACAGCCACAGCAGCCCCAGCAGCCGCAGCAGCCACAGCCTCCACAGCAGCAGCCACCGCAGCCACAGCAGCCACAGCCACAGCAGCCTCAGCAGCCGCAACAGCCACCTCAGCAACAGTCCCACCTGGTCCCTGTATCTCTCAGCAACCTCATGTGAGTCCTGGGGAGACTGCATGTGAGTGTGTGGGAAGGGAGAATTGAACGGGAAGAGGAGGGACCTCTTGGGAGCTGGGTTCCCTGCAGGGTTCTAGTGGACATCCTATGAGGCTGTGCACTGCACAGTCTGTTAGGCAACAGTGGCACCCCTGGGCTCTCTTGTACAGACCCAAGAGGCTCACCCTGAACCCCTTCTGAGAGCCAGCCCCAGGGTAGGGGGTGGGAGGTGGGGGGCCCTGTGTTGCAGAAGATGACATGGGATGGAAAGAGAACTAATATTTCTTATTTCCCTTCTCTTCCCTTCATTCGACCCTCTTCTGATCACTCTCCATCCAATTGCCTCTCCCCAACACCCCATCCCCCATATTCTCATCCTCTTGTTCTCTCTCACTTTCTGTCTGGTGTCCTATCACTTGTTCTGTCACTCACCCCCTCTGTTTTTATCCCTTGTACCCCATTTCCATTGCCTGCCTCCAGCCCGGGCAGCCCCCTGCCCCACGTGGGTGCTGCCCTCACAGTCACCACCCACCCCCACATCAGCATCAAGTCAGAACCGGTGTCCCCAAGCCGTGAGCGCAGCCCTGCGCCTCCCCCTCCAGCTGTGTTCCCAGCTGCCCGCCCTGAGCCTGGCGATGGTCTCAGCAGCCCAGCCGGGGGATCCTATGAGACGGGAGACCGGGATGACGGACGGGGGGACTTCGGGCCCACACTGGGCCTGCTGCGCCCAGCCCCAGAGCCTGAGGCTGAGGGCTCAGCTGTGAAGAGGATGCGGCTTGATACCTGGGTACTGTAGCATCACCTCTCCTGTCTGCCAGTGTCTGCTACACCCAGGGACTGCCCCGCGTGCCCCCTAACCTGTTTTATTTCCCACCCAAGAGGCCTTGTGGCCGGCTACCCCTTCCGCCAGCCCTTCTAGGGCAGCACCAACACCCCTTCACCCCTGCCAAAGGCCCATCTTCTCCCTCCCTCCAGCATCAGTCCTTCTGCTCGATGACTTCTTCCCCTCACAGCTGGCCCTGCCACTAGAATCCTGGCCCTATGGGGAGAGGGGAGTGGGGGGTGCATACCCAAAGCCTGGGCCACCCCCTCACACCCCCTTCTCCATCTCCTCTCTTCACAGACATTAAAGTGACGATTCCCACTCCCCTCCTCTCAGCCTCCCTGATGAAGAGTTGACAATCTCACCGCCCGCCCTTCCCTGCCCCGGGCTCCTCCCGCTCGACCCCCACTTCCTTTCTTGTGCTTCGTGTCCTGTTGACGGTTACATTTGTGTATAATTATTATATTATTATTATTATTATTATATTTTTTTTAATTTGGATTCTCGCTTTGGAGAGGGGGATGCTCTCATCCCCTCTTTCTGTACCCCCCACCATTTTCACTGGCTGGGGGGCTCTCTTTTTCGCGGGAAGGGGGGACACTTTGCACGTTGTACACATATGCTGCAGGAAGGGGGTGGGGGGCCCAATAAGGCCTTTGGGAAAGGACAGGTGCCGAGCCCTGCATGTGGAGCCCTCCCACCCCACCCCCAGATAGAGGGAAATAACCAAAAAACTACCAAACAACAGAAACCCACACTCTAGACTGAAACCCCAAAGTGGGCTTGATGGGTGGGTTTGTGTTTCAAGGGGAAAGTGAGGCAGAGGTTCTGAAAAGGGTCTCTGTTTTTGTGTTCATGTAGCCATAGGCACATGGAGCAGAATACTTAAGCCTGGCCCCCAAATGCCCCTGCACACACACGTGCCACACCTGCGCTGATTCTTGTGTGTGCTGCACCCCCAAGGTGTGTGGGTGCTGGCTGAGCTTTGGGCCGGGAAGGCAGCCTGGGAATCTGAGGCTGGAGACAGGGGTTTGAGGTGGGGGCCTCTCTGGAAGCACATTTGGAGGGAAAGACAAGAGAGCCATGAGGAGAGGGCTGAGGAGGGCAGAAGGGCTAGGCAGGGGGCAAATTGAGCCCCTCCCTTCCCCAGTTTTTCTCTAAGATATACAGTGCAATAGCTCCCCACCCCTCAGTTGACGCCAGCCCTGTAAAGCTGGCCACAGTGTGCAGGGAGAATGGGGAGAGGGTCTTCAGTGAGGTGGCTGGGGCGAGAGTCGGCCTGGACTTCCCTGGGGTGCTCCAGGCCAGAGCTCTTTCATTGGGGCGAGTGTGGTGAGGGGACGTCCTTGGTCTTGCACGCACACTACCTGGGGGAGTCAACACTGGGATGGTCTGTGGGGTGGGAGGGCCTACGGATGGGTCCGTAGAGGTCCCACCTCCCTCATTCCTCCTTGGCCCCTCTCCCTAGCTTCTCCTGTTAGCTCCTTCTGCTCCTGACCCCACCTCCTTGCTCTTGGCGCCCCTATTGTCTCTGGCTACCTCCTTGTCCCACCACCTCCAGGCTGCATCCCACCTTCCCTCTTGGCTACTGTAATTGTAAATAGCGACCTTTGGAAAACGTTAGCGGTGTAACAGTCCAGGAAACTGTTTTTTTTTGTTGTTGTTGTATTGATATGAAATGAGATTCTATTTTTGTCAAAGTATATTGTAATAATAATGACTCAAACGGCCCGTACTGTACAGACGAGATTCTTCTGCTGTTGTTCTTGCTCCCCTCCCCTCCTCTGAGTCCGCCCCTCCCTGCTGCCTCCTCAGTGGGGCAGTGGGCAAGGGGCCCAGGGGCAGCCGAAGCACGGGGTCCTGAGACCTCAGGCAGGATTGGAGATCAAACCAGAGGGGGCAGGCCCCCAGCCTGCTCTCTAGGATCACCCCCCGCCCTAAGGGGCCTGGCCTGGGGTGACGTGGCCAGGCAGACTGTCTGCCCCACTCCTTCACACAAGCCCAGCTCCTCTGCCCAAGGGGTGCGGCGCCCCCTTGGGGTTTCCTCCCAGTTGGAGAGTAGAGTTAAGACAAGGCCCAGTTTTGTGTTAGCCGACCGTCTTTGCCCACCTCTATGACCCAGCCTCTTGCAGTATTCCCATACTTGATGCAGGGAAGGAACCAGAAGCAGAGGGGCCTCTACGCAGGTACACACGTGTACCTGAGTGTGTTCATGAGGGCATCTGGTGTTTATGTGTCTGAGTGTAGCTTTGTATTTATGTGTGTGTGTGTGTGTATGTCTGATTGCACGGGTGTACTTTTGTATTTATGTGTGTGTGTGGTTGCACGGGTGTGCCTCTGTGTGTCTCTGACCCTGGCTGGGTGTGTGTGCAAATCTGTGTGACTGGAGCTCTAGGGGCATCTCTGTGTCTGAGTGTGCCTGGTGTGTGTTTACAAAGGGAGAGTTGGCTGCTCCAGCTCCACAGCCCTGGGACCCCAACTCCTGTCTTCCCTGCTCCTTTCCCTGTGTTCACCCTCAGCTCTGACACATTGAACTGCAGTTGGGGGGATTGGCAGTTAGCCCTCTGTGCTTCTCCCTGCAGCCCTACCTCTGCCAAGGTCTCTCCCTCCAGGGACCTCTGCTTCCACCCACATATGTCCACTTAGTCACCCACACTTGACACAGTTCCTGGAGTACCCTCTTCCCCCAACCCCAGACCTGCTTTCAGAGCAAAACTCAAGTCCCTCTTCCTCCGTGAAGCTTCTCCCTCAGCTGAGCAGTGATCACTTACTCACTCTTAACCCCAATCCGCTGACTGGGTGGGGACAGCACGTCCAGCCTTCCCACCTCTCCTGCAGGCTTCTAGACGGAGTTTCAAAAACTGATGAGCCTCGATCCAGGGCTTGAAAGAAGCCAGGGTGTAATCTTGTTCATGCATGCGTCCCCAGAGCCTCGCCCAGTGCCTGGCACATAGTAGGCACTCAATAAATGCTGAATGGGTGAATAGTTGAATGATAGGTGCTCAATAAATGAATGAATGGCCTTC
This sequence comes from Homo sapiens, assembly GCF_000001405.40. Taxonomy (NCBI): domain Eukaryota; kingdom Metazoa; phylum Chordata; class Mammalia; order Primates; family Hominidae; genus Homo; species Homo sapiens. The sequence continues at coordinate 23,487 of NW_025791758.1, read as the reverse complement.
CCTTCTCAGGCTATTCCCACCATTAGTCTGCCCACCTTTCTAGGCTGGGCTTGGCCACCATTAAACACGGGGTGGGGGTGAGGGCCCCTGCAATTCACGGTGCAATATTCACCAGTTTTGCCCTCTGCCTCATAAAGGCAAACCTGGCTTTTGATTACCATGTGTGGATGTTTCAGTGTCCTTTCTTCTCTGTCCCTGGGGATGGGGTGGTCTGTGAATATGTGACATTTCTGCAGTTCAGTATCCGAAGGTTTCTCTTGGGGGTAGGGGCTCCTGGGCGGCCAGATGAATGGGTCCCTGGGAACCCAGACCTCAGATGAGGACTTAATGTCTTCTTCCTCTCAAGCCAAATTCGCCTCCACCCACTCCCTCTGAAGAACTGGGCATTTGCCAAAGTAACCACTGGAGTCATCTAATGGCCCTCCCCCTCCCCAGGTTTCCCACAGCTTTCAGGGACAGTGGGCAAGAGGACACCCCCCCCCACCACCTCAGTGGAACACACCATTCTCCCCCCCTCAACAGCACACTCAGTGCAGCAAGACTGACCCCTGACCCCCTCCCAGCCCTCCCTACCTTGGACAGGAAGGAAGTAATGCACCTTCTCTTGCTGATTATTTATTTGTTTGGAGAGACAGAAATGTAAAAGTGTATCTAGAAATATCTATATCTCTATATATTTTTAACTGACTCTTTGGAATCCCCTGGGGTGGGGTGAGGGGTAAGTTTAGGCTTTCGCGGAGGGGAGGAGACATGGAGCCTGGGAACTCCTTGTTCTCCCCTCTGCTGCCTCTCCCCACCCCTTAAAGCAGTTGGTAGAAGGAATGGTATTTGTATGGGGGGAGGGAGGCTGGAATGGAGAATCTGGATTCTCTCCTCTTCCCCATTCTCCAGAGGGAGGGAGGTGGTGAGGAAGAGGAAGGGAGGGGCAGGATGGGCCATGGAGGTGCCCCACCCCCACACCTGACAATCACCCACACTCCTGGGGCTCTTCCTGGGTCCTGGGGCAGGGCGAGTCCAAGTGTGAGGCTGTTGATTTGTTTTCAATATTTCTTTTCGTGCTGTATGGTGATGCTTTCTTAGTATTCTACACAATAAGAAAAGACAAAGTCCTCGAGATTCTTATGAGTTTTGTTTGAAAACTCTTTCACTATATTTGTTGTAAAGAGGTTTACTATTAAAAGAAAAAGAATACACGTTTCTGATACTTCGGCGTGGGTTTTGGTTTCTTTGGTGCCGCGAGGATGGGAAGGAAGGACTGGTGTGGCCCCATCAGGGTGAGAGGCAGTGCTTCATCTCAGCAGGGAAGAATGGGGGGCGGCCTTCAGGGCGGGGCACTTCCACATGTCTCAGGTGGGGTTTTCAGGTGAGAATTTCTTCTAAGTGTTCTGTCAGAAGGAGGCAGCCCCAGCCCACACTAAGGAGGGATTGCCCAGCTAGAAGCCTCAGGAGGGATTCTGGGACACAAAAATAGAAATGCCACCCAAGGTTGAGTTCAAACCAGAATGGTGTTGGGGGTGGGAGTTGGCACGGTGAGGACCTTTGACTGCTGAAAGCCTTCCTCAGCAGAGACTTGCCCGGGCACTATGTTAGGCACAGGTGGATTCCACCCTCGTGCTCCTCACAGCATGCTTCCCTCCAGCAGAGGAAGCCGCTCTTGCCCTTTCAAAGTGCTTTAACAGTGCCAAGGAGCCTCTTTCTCCCCACCTGACACACCCCACAGGACCACCCCACCCCACTCCGCCATGCCTTCCAGCCAGGGTCGTCTTCTCTTAAACTTGCCTCCTTGGCCGGGCACGGTGGCTCACGCCTGTAATCCTAGCACTTTGGGAGGCTGAAGCAGGCAGATCACCTGAAGTCAGGAGTTTGAGACCAGCTTGGCCAACACGGCGAAACCCCATCTCTACTAAAAATACACAAATTAGCTGGGCGTGGTGGCATGCATCTGTAATCCCGCTACCTGGGAGGCTGGGGCAGGAAAATCGCTTGAACCCAGGAGGCAGAAGTTGCAGTGAGCCGAGATTATGCCATTGCACTCCAGCCTGGGTAACAGAGCAAGACTCCATCTCAAAAAAAAAAAAAAAAAAAAAAAAAGGCCGGGCGCGGTGTCTCACGCCTGTAATCCCAGCACTTTGGGAGGCCAAGGCGGGCCTCGGGATCACCTGAGGTCGGGAGTTCGAGACCAACCTGACCAACATGGAGAAACCCCGTCTCTACTAAAAATACAAAATTAGCCGGGCGTGGTGGCACATGCCTATAATCCCGGCTACTAGGGAGGCTGAGGCAGGAGAATTGCTTGAACCTGGGAGGCGGAGGTTGCGGTGAGCCGAGATGGTGCTATTGCACTCCAGCCTAGGCAACAGGAGTGAAACTCCGTCTCAAAAAAAAAAAAAAAACCCTGCCTCCTCCCTCATACCTGGCACAGCCGTGCCCTGGGGCAGATGGAGCGGCTGTGGAGGAAAGCAGATCCGGCTTGGCTTCCTCCGAACAGGGTGTGGCTGCTTCTCTGTACCTAGCCCAGGTGCTGCAGAGGCGAACGCGGAGTGTGAGGGGCCATATACGATGGCAGAGACAGGCCTATGAACGCCTAAAATCCATGAAGCATGGTTAAGGCTGTGGGTGCTAGCCTTAGTTGTGGGAGCACACAGGAGTCAGGCTTCATGCCTTGGGTTTCCTCATCTGCAAAATGCCGATGACCATCTGTACTGGTCCTGCTTCCCTCATACGGTCATTGCAGTCTTCCCCTCACTTCTCCCTCAGTAGAGGCAGAGAGGAACGATGAGCTGAGCAGGAAGGGGTTAAGAGGATACCACCCTCTAGAGGAGGCTCCCTGTTGGTTACCTGCTCCCCTGTAGCAGCTTCCAAGATGACCTCCAATTATCCCTCCCTGGTATTCATGCCCTTGTGTGGTCCCCTCCCTCAGTGAATCATGGTTGGTATGTGTGTCCAATTAAAAAAGGCAGAGTGATGGCATGTGACTTCCAAGGCTAAGTCATGGCTCTACTCTCTGTCTCTCGCTAAGTCATGGTCTCTCTCTCTCTCTCCCTCTCTCTGTCTCTCATTTGCCCTGGAGAAAGCCAGATCCCATACTGTGGGACACTTAAGCAGCTCTATGGAAAGGCCCACATGGCAAAGAACTGAGGCCTTTTGCCAACCACCATCTGAGTGAGGCCATCCTCTCCTCTGTCCTTGTAGTTCCCAAAATTCTGCAGACATTGGTACAGGTGAGAACCCACTGGTACAATGTACACTGTAGCTCAGCCACAGCCATGAAGAGAGGACCACTCTCTTCTGCACATCTGCTGTTGGTTCCTCAGACTGGCCTGGCCTGTACCTCCTTCCTTATAGGCATCATTCCATGATGTCTTGGGTAGGCATTAGTTTCGCCCACACATATTTCCTGTTCTCTTCCCTTCCTGGACACACAAAAGGCCGTGCATCCCAGTCCCTGTATAGTCAAGTGGGGTTATTGGGCTAGTTCTGGGCAGTAGCCTATAATGGGAAGTAATGTGTGTCCCTTCTGAAATGCAGCTAGTGCCTGATTCTTCAAACACTCTTTCCCTGTTGTGGGAATTGCAGAAGCACGTGTTGAGGAGTGCTAGCAGATCAAAGCAGCCTAGACGGCTAAGCTGCCCTAAGGTTTTGTCCAGCACGAGTGGACTTTGTGTGAATAGATAGTAACTCTGTTTTGTTAAACTACAGTGATTTTGAGTACTGTGTCTGCAATATAACCTATCCTGACTGATAAAGTATCCCTCTCACACTTGGACAACCTTGAAGCCTGATCTACTGTATACTCCTTGTTAGTGTGGCACAAGGATCTCTGAACTTGGCATAGTCCAGAACTAACTGGTTCAACTCCTAGTTCTGCCCCTTACCAGCTGTGTGGTCTTGGGTAGTCACATTCTTCTTAAGCCTCTGTTTCTATAAAACAGAGCTAATAGCTGCTTGTTTTCTCTCACCCCCCACCTTCCCCGTTTCCAATCCATCCTCCCCATCTTTGGCCCAGCTCTGATAATCTAACATGTCATGGTTCTCCACTGCCCACCATCTAAAGTCCTAACTCCTTGGCCTTGCTCCCAAGGCCTTCAAAGAGCCAGCACAACCTCTTTTCCAGGCTTAGTCCCTATGGCTCCCTCTGCATCCCTTGAACTCTAGGCAGACCAGACAGCCCTATCAGTTCCCTGACAGATCCTTTGTGGTATGGCTCACGCCATAATCTGTCTGAAATCCAACAAACATACTGTGTGAAACCTTGTGTTAGGCACTGGGGACACAGGAATGAGATAGCTCCTACCTCTAGGCAATTCACAGTCTAATGGCCACAAGAGATAAGTTAACCAACAGTTTATACTTAAGTCTGTGTTAAATGTCACATAGAAAGAATGTAAGTGGGCTTTTGGGATCAGAGATGTGGTACACCCAAATCCAAACTAATGAAAATGAGAGGAGGCTTCTCAGAGGAGGTGCTTGAGCTGGATTTTGAAGACATATAGGAGTCGCCTGGGCAAATGAGAGTAAGGAAGACATTCCTTATGGCAGGAATAACACATAAGGTATGGAGAGACTATGGTGGCTTCAGGAAATCAAATACTGTGGTGCAGGTCAAAGGAACAGCACATAGAACCGAAGAGGTAGGCAGAGGCCCCGTTATGAAGGGCCTTGATTGCCAAGACTTGGACTTTATTCTGCAGAAGATGTTTGGTCATCAAAAGATTTTAAGTAGAGGAGGGATTTGACCAAACTTGCATTTCAGAAAGCTCCTGCCAGTAAAAGTTCCCCTCTGACAGTAATGCTGAAAATCAACTGGAAAGGAATGCCGCATTGGAGGCAAGTGGCCTGTCAGGATGCTCTACAAGTAGAAATAGTGAGAGCCTACACCCAAGGAAGTCGTAGACAGAAGGATGGAGAAAAAATGAGTTTTGTAGATACTGAAGAGAATACTTACTACTGCTACTAGTCAAAGACGTGAAAATAAATGAATTTACTTGGTTTAGGTAAGAAGAGGTCTAGCAAAAAACTGCTCTACCACGCCTATTTCTATTTTCGCAACCCTTCCTATCTTTAAGGTTTTACTCCTACAATTTTCCCATCATGAAACTTTTCCTGATTTCTCTCCCTCCCTTGTCCTGCCCAGCTGGCTGTGGTATCCTCCAATGAAGTGTCTCAGGAATCTGCCCCCCTCTTTTTTTTTTTTTTTTTAAGATGGAGTCTCGCTGTATCACCCGGGCTGGAGTGCAGTGGCATGATCTAGGCTCACTGCAAGCTCCGCCTCGCAGGTTCAAGCGATTCCCCTACCTCAGCCTCCCGAGTAGCTGGGACTATAGGCGCCCGCCCCCACGCCCGGCTGATTTTTCCTATTTTTAGTAGAGACAGGGTTTCACCATGTTAGCCAGGATGGTCTCGATCTGCTGACCTCGTGATGTGCCCTCCTCGGCCTCCCAAAGTGCTGGGATTACAGGAATGAGCCACCGCACCCGGCCAGGAATCTAACCCTTCTTTATAGCACCTACCTCATTTTACCTGGAAATGTAGGTACCAGTTTCTGTTTTCTCTCTACAACCGTAGTGAAGCTCCTTTTAAAAATGCACTGCCAGCCAGGCACGGTGGCTCACAGCTGTAATCCCAGCACTTTGGGAGGCCGAGGCAGGTGGATCACCTGAGGTCATAGTTCAAGACCAGCCTGGCTAACATGGTGAAACCCCGTCTCTACTAAATATACAAAAATTAGGCCAGGCGCAGTGGCTCAAGCCTGTAATCCCAACACTTTGGGAGGCCAAGCTGGGCTGATCACGAGGTCAGGAGTTCAAGACCAGCCTGACCAACGTGGTGAAAGCCCATCTCTACTAAAAATACAAAAAATTAGCCGGGTGTGGTGGCGGGCGCCTGTAGTCCCAGCTACTCGGGAGGCTGAGGTAGGGGAATCGCTTTAACCTGGGAGGCAGAGGTTGCAGTGAGCCGAGATCGTGCCACTGCACTCCAGCCTAGGCAGCAGAGCAAGACTCCTCAAAAAAAAAAAAAAAACAAAAATTAGCCGGGTGTGGTGGTGCGCACCTGTAATCCCAGCTACTCGGGAGGCTGAGGCAGGAGAACAGCTTGAACTCGGCAGGCAGAGGGTGCAGTAAGCCAAGATCGTGCCACTGCACTCCAGCATGGGTGACAGAGCAAGACTCTGTCTTGGGGGAAAAAAAAAGAAAAAATGCACTGCCTTGTCCATGTTTGTATCTGTCCCCATGCCTGGCACACAGTATGTGTTCAGTGGGGCTAAAATGAAATAATGCATGTGAAAGTGCACTCTGTAAACTGTGGAGTACTACAAACCCTATAGATTTTTTAAAATAATACTCAAGAGCATATAACTTTTTGCAGCTTCTCCTTTACTTTTCAGCTGCAAGATCAGCTCCTGAAGCAGCACAGATCCTTAGGGTCCCAGTTTTCTGGACTCAGATATCGGTGCACAGAAGAATTAGCACCCACTGGGCTCCTGTATCCAAAGAGGTGGCTCTTGGTAGGCAGGAGGCAAAGGGTGGTATTTGTTCCAGCCAAGAAGGCCAGACCACTTCTCTGTAGCTCATGTTCTTCTGACTCACACCCCTCAGTCCTATGGGCTGAGTAACTTTTCCAGCCTTGTGATTGTGGAAACTTGTTTCAGAACAGCATATGTGAAAGGGACACTTGGGCGACCCCACCCCAGGTCCCAGAATGGCTCACTTCTACTGGAGCCAATACAGCCCCCTCATATCAGCCCCTCGTATCTGTTTGCAGTCTTTTTTTTTTTTTTTTTTTTTTTTTTGAGAGTCTCGCTCTGTCACCCAGGCTGGAGTGCAGTGGTGCGATCTTGGCTCACTGCAACCTCTGCCTCCTGGGTTCAAGCGAGTCTCCTGCCTCAGCCTCCTGAGTAGCTAGGATTACAGGCGCGTGCCACCACACTTGGCTAATTTTTGTATTTTTAGTAGAGACGGGGTTTCACCATGTTGGTCAGGCTGGTCTCGAACTCCTGACCTCGTGATCTGCCCTCCTTGGCCTCCCAAAGTGTTGGGATTACAGGCGTGAGCCACGGCGCCTGGCACTCTGTTTGCTGTCTTAAATCACTGTGTCACTATCCAAAGTCCATTCCCCTGCCCTATTTCACACTTGGTAAACCAGAGGCCCAAGAGGAAAAGGAGGCAGTAGGAAGCTCCTACAGCCTCCTGCACTTCTCCCTGCTAGGTCTAGTTCAGATCAGCCTGGGAGGGGGCGCTCAGGAGTTAGTGCTTCCAGTCGGACTGATTTACATTTGACAATCCCCCGCCCCCCGTCACCCCCTCCACCCCGCCACCTTTGCTTTGTACTTGCTGCCAAGTATTTAGAGCTCCAAGGGCTTCGCTCGGGCAGTTTGTTTGGTCTCATAAAGTGCGGTCCCCGCCTTCGTAGGGGAGAGTCACTTCTATTTACTGTGCATCAGCCGCCACGTGCCCCATAAAAGCTGGTGACGACGCTGTCGGCCCGAGCTGGGAGGGGAGGGACCCCGCCTACGGGAAGGTCACGAGCCCGCCAGGCCCCGCCCTCATGTGACCTGCGGGGCCCGTCCTCGCCTGTGTCACTACCCTCGGCGGAGAGCGAAGGCTCGCACCGGCCGTGGCATCCAATCCCTGTCCTGCCAGCTATAGCCGGGCGGGGAGGAGGGAGCGGTTCCGGGTTCAGAAAGAGAAAATCTCCATCTAAGGCGAAGGGGTAGAAGGGAGGTCGAGGGAAGGCAATAAAGTCACTTGTTTAATCTCCTCTATGCTGTAAAATCCCCGAAGGCAGAAATCACATAGTCCTAAGTGTATGGCACACAGAAGACGCTCAATAAATGGCTGATTGGCAACTGGCCATCGGACCCTGCTCGGATGCAGCGCCAGTCCCGCCGCCCTACGCAGCAGTCCCCTCACCCCTCTCCCCCGGCGTCCTCCCTGCTGTGACAAGGCAAATGAGACAATGGGTTCGGCCAACCAACGCTTCCAAGCCTGCGGCCCGCGGCCGGGAAGTGTCCTCAATCCGCTCGTCTAACACTGCAGTGGGTGCGGCCAAAGACCCCAGTCCACTCTCCGCGCCCCTGCCAATGGGCGGGAAGCGGGGCCTCAGCCTCACTGCGCTGGCTCTGCCAGTGGCAGACGGAATCATCAGCCAACCGCACCCGGGCAGGACGCATGCGCACCCAGAAGATGTAGCCCTAGATGGGGAAAAACCGAGCCGAGAGAGCCAATTTTGGCTGGGTCTTGCCAGGTCTTGCCAGGTCTTCCCGGAGAGGGTGCGCATGCGTAAATCGAACACCTCCTCTAAATCTAACGCCCTGCTCAGTTCTAGAGGGGACAGCGCCCTCTGTCCTCCTGGCCGTTTTCCTGAACTCCTAACCTCAGTCAATACTGCCTCGGGACCTGGCGCTGCCTGGGAGATCCAGAAGAAAGGAAGCATCTTGGCCCCTGCCTTGGGGGCGACACGACCGTCCCCAAACACAGCGAGTCACTGGCCTGGGTCTTTGTGCAGAGGCCCCTCTAGGAGCGGGGAACCAACGATGGCACGAACATTGATTTGAGGAGGATGCTTCGCAGTTTACGAAGTGAGTTATATCCATTGTCTCAGAAGTTCCTCACAAAAAAACAAAACAAAACAAAACAAAAAACAGGTTGTCAAGTAAAGAAGCTGACGCTCAGGAAGGTGAAGGGGACGAGTCCAAGGACACTGCCGGTCAAGGTGAAATGGCCTGGAACCCTGGCGACCCAACTCCCCATTCAGTGCTCTTTGTTTTTATTTTGTTTGTTTTTTGAGACAAGGTCTTGCTCTGTCGCCCAGGTTGGAGTGCAGTGGCGCGATTTCGGCTCACTACAACCTCCGCCTCCCGGGTTCAAGCGATTCTCCTGCTTCAGCCTCCCGAGTAGCTGGGATTACAGGCGCCCGCCGCCACGCCCGGCTAATTTTTTTGTATTTTTAGTAGAGACAGGGTTTCACCATGTTGGCCAGGCTGGTCTCGAACTCCTGACCTCAGGTGATCCGCCCGCCTCGGCCTCCCAAAGTGCTGGGATTACAGGCGTGAGCCACTGCTCCTGGCCCCATTCAGTGCTCTTCTACCATGATAAGCAGTTTCCTTGCTCTCCAAGAAGCTTGTGTTTAGTTGGCCTAACGGCACATAAGATCAAGAAAAAGGCAGTTTCAGTCTTTCTTTTTTTTTTCTTTTTCTTTTTTTTTAATAGAAAATGAGTGCTAGAGGCGTTCAGAAACGGGAAAGATCACTTTGTGCTCCTGTGATCTGAAGGCTGCGTGAAGAAGATGAGGCTTGGAAAATAGGTACAAAGTACATAATCGGAGTGGATCAATCTTAGGAACAGGCCAGGCTCAGTGGCTCACGCCTGTAATCCCAGCACTCTGTGAGGCCAGGGCGGGAAGATCACCTGAGCCCAGGAGTTCCAAAACAAGCAAAATTAAGCAATATTGTGTTTACATATATGATAAAACTTTGGGAAAAGCAAGGAATGATAAGCACAAAATGTATTAATAGTTACCGTAGAGAGATTGGGGATGGGAGGAGAAAAAACACACAGGTGGATGCCATTGGTAATGGTGCAGTTTTTGGGATAAAAGGTAGGTTTATGGGTATTAACCTAATTAAGTATATAACACATGTATACATTATAATTATTCTTTTGTATGTATAAAATGTAATTTAAAAGATGATAATGGAATCACAGCCTCCCACCCCAGTACATTACATAGTTGAAGAGAGGGAAAGCTGGCCGGGCGTGGTGGCTAATGCCGGTAATCCCTTGCCTTTGGGAGGCTGAGGCGGGTGGATCACTTGAGTCCAGGAGTTCGAGACCAGCCTGGGCAACATGGTGAAACCCCATCTCTACTAAAGATACAAAAATTAGCCGGGCACAGTGGCGTGCACCTGTAGTCCCAGCTACTTGGGAGGCTGAGGTGGGAGGATTGCTCGAGCCCAGGAGGTCTAGGCTGTAGTGAGCCGAGATCACACCACTACACTCCAGCCTGGGGGACAGAGCAAGACCCAGTCTTCAATCAAAAAAAAAAAAAAAAAAAAAAAAAAGAGGAGGGAGCTGGAGGGGAAAGCCTTACATGTATTGCCCTTAGTTAAAGAGCATTTCTACACACTTTATACCAGGTGATTCTCACAAGAAGGCTTCAATAATCTCCATGTTAGAGATGAAGAGACTCAAGTAACTGAAAGTTACTTAAGGCCAATGGGGACCCTGTGCAGCTATATATCCAGTGTCCCAAGCACTGTGTCTGGCATGTTAGTAAACATGTTTCATAGGTGAGTGACAGAACTTTGTAATTACCCTGGTGTCTGCTAGTGAAATGAGCTGCCTCTGAAGGTAGGGAGTGCCCTGCACAGCAGCTGGCTGACCATTGTCAGGATCAGAAGTAATATAGAAACAATTCTGTCTTCAGCTGAAGTTTGGATATAGATAACCTCTGAGGTTCTTTTCAACTATAAGGCTCTATGAGTCTTTCAGAGGCTGAAGGCAAAACCGTATTAAGATAATAAGTTTGTCCACTTCCACTAGGGTCGTAGAAGTGGTTGCCAAAGAAAGGCCTAGATTAAAAAGACTTTTTTTTTTTTGAGACAGAGTCTCACTTTGTCACCTAGGCTGGAGTGCAGCGAGCATGATCATAGCTCACTGCAGCCTTGAACTCCTGGGCTCGAGCGATCTTCCCGTCTCAGCCTCCCAAGTAGTTGAGACTACAGGTGCACACCACTGTATCTGGCTAATTTTTAAATTTTGTAGAACAGAGTCTTGTCATGTTCCCCAGGCTGGTCTTGGACTCTTGGTTTCAAGTGATCCTCCCTCCTCAACCTCCCAAAGTGTTGGGATTACAGGCGTGAGCCACTGCATCTCACCCCCAAAAAACATTTGGAAGGACAAGTTAACAGGACTTATTGCCAAAATAGATATGAAGTATGTTGTTATGGTTATGTATATTGTTGTGTGTTGTATGTGGCCACAGGATTTTTGATCCACCCTAACTGGAAGAAATGCCTAACAGGCAATTAACAATATGGGATAGTGCTCAAGAGAGATAAGGGGTGATATGTCACACTGAGATATAAGGGAAAGAGCACTGGAGTTGGAGTTAGGAGACCTGATTTCTAGACCTAACCTTGTCTTTAATTAACAGTGTCATCTTGGACAAATCCCTTCATTTGCATAAGTCTATTCCCTCATATAGTAAAGATACATACGTGCAACGATAGCTATAAGGAAGAACGTGCCCATCCCCTTCTTAAGATCCTACTCATCTAGTTAAAAAAACAGATATCCAGTATTAAAACTTGGCTTCTCGGGCCGCGTGCAGTGGCTCGTGCCTCTAATCCCAGCACTTTGGGAGGCCGAGGCGGGCGGATCACGAGGTCAGGAGTTCGAGACAAGCCTGACCGACATGGTGAAACCCCGTCTCTACTAAAATACAAAAAATTAGTCGGGCATGGTGGCATGCGCCTGCAGTCCCAGCTACTTGGGAGGCTGAGCCAGGGTAATCACTTGAACCTGGGAGGTGGAGGTTGCAGTGAGCCGAGATGGCGCCACTGCACTCCAGCCTGGCGACAGAGCGAGGGTGCGTCTCAAAAAAAAAAAGAAAGAAAAGAAAAGAAACTTTGCTTCCCTCTGTTGTCCCATAATATTATGTTCATTTCTCCATTATAGGACTTACCACATTACAGGACAGACCACAGTGCATGTCTGTCTGCTCCAACAGAAGTGGCTTTCTTGAGGGAAGGAATTCTGCCTTGTTCAACTTTATATTCCCCCACAGTGCCTTGCAGAAAGTAGGAGCCCAGAAAATGTGTACTGAATTGCTCAGAATTGTGTGGTGAGGTAGAAAGTATTGCTTAATCTCTCCGAGACCTCAATTTCCTTATTTGTAAATTAAACTGCTGATTAATTTCTAAAGTTCTTTTGAGTTACAGAATTCTGTTACCCAACAAGGTTTCAGAGATTGAGAAGATTGAATTATTTGATTTCTAAATTCTTTTTCAACTTCAATATTAAATGATTTTATAATACCGAGTTGCAAGTGATCTACATGGAAATGATAGCTGAACAAGTTATCAGAGGAAAAACATGTGGGAAAAGATTGAGAACAGAAGTAACATCTAGCTATCCAATACGAGAGAGAGAAGCCACTGAAAGTAACATGGAAGAGTCAGTCTGAAAAGCAGGGGAGATAATAATAGAAGGAGTGACAGAATCAGATGCCTAGAGGACTATCATGCAAATGAGTGAAGTGGTCCAGTGGTAAGCGTTAGGGAGTTGTGGAGACTGGAGAGGCCATGGCCCATCTAAAGTCAGCTGTGTCATGTTACCAATGTGAGTGTTGCCACATCTTCCAGGTTTTTGTTTGTTTGTTATTGTTGTTTTTGTTTTTTGTTTTTTTGCGACAGACTGGCTGTCACCAGGCTGGAGTACAGTGGCGTGATCTCGCCTCACTGCAACCTTCACCTCCTGGGTTCAAACAATTCTCCTGCCTCAGCCTCCCGAGCAGCTGGGATTACAGGCGCACACCACCACACCTGGCTAATTTTTGTGTTTTTAGTAGAGACGGGTTTCACCATGTTGGCCAGGCTGGTCTCGAACTCCTGGTCTCAGATGATCCACCTGCCTTGGCTTCCCAAAGTGCTGGGATTACAGACATGAGCCACTACCCCTGGCCTAGTTTTTAAGAAGCTGGTAATACAGATTTTTATTTGAAATCTCATGATCTGTAAGTGTTAGCAACAAGTTCCAATTACTTTAAAATTCTTTGCAGATCAAAAAAAAAAACCACATCTTTAGGCCAAGTATTTGGGCCACCTATCTATAACCTCTCCAGTATAGTACCAAAGGAGGAACTCTTTTTCACCCTCAAATCATACATGCTTCAGTACGATGTAGTGGAAGAGCGCCCTCCCTCTGTTCATAGCAGCTCTGTGATATGCATCCCAACACTTCCTGGTACTTCCAGGACTTTGCCCCATCCATTATCTTCTCTCTCTCCTCTGTTTTCAACTTCTTCTTGTCTACTTGCACTTCTCTTCATTCTAAGAACATGCTGAAGCCTCTCCACATTCTGAAAACACTGCTCCATTGTCCTATAGCCACTTATAGGCATTTTCTAGAAAGTTTTCTTTTTCTCTTCTCCAGTAAATTTCTTGACAATATCAATTACGTTTGCTATTTCCTCTCCCTCTCTTCCCATTGTAAGTTGGCTGAACTCCTCAACTCACAGAGTTTGCATCTACCACTTCAGCCTTTCTCAACAGGGCAAAGATCTCTGTTGTGAAATTCATTGACACTTCCCAACTAGGTTAAAACTTCTCACACTCCGATATCAAGTATTGTATCTTTTTTATTTTAGCACCTAAGAGGTGTTCAGTCAATGTTTATTGAACCAAAGGGGAACCGGTAAGTGTTAATTGAACCAAAATGGAAAGAGTTTTCAAGAAAGAAAGATGGTCAGCGTCATCAAATTTGCAGAAGGATCAAAGACTGTGATGGCCAAATGAAACCCACTGGATTTTAAGATAAGGAGATTACCAGTAACTTTTGAGGGGGCAGTTTCAGTTTAGGGAGTTGCTTGACATTGCCGTGGTTTATAAGGAAGAGGGCTGTGGAGTGAGTGTAGACCATGCATTGGAGAAGTTTGGCACTATAGGGAGGAAACAGCAGGAAATATTGGAGACAATCATGCCAGTTAGAGTTCTCAGGATCGAGAAAATCCTGGCGTATTTGTAAGTAAAGGAAACAAAGCTAGTGGCACAGGGGATGCTGAAAATGTTTGATAAAGAGAACATCTCAGAGTACACCATCAGAGGGAGACAATTGAGAAGTTAGCGGATTCAAGGAATTGGTTGGCCTTTACAAGGAGGTGAGAAGTCGCCTCTGAATTAGGCAGAAGGGTTAAAGGCATGAGTCAGAATTATACACAGACCCTTGAGTGAGGAAAGGTGATGGAGGAGAGCTCCTGTGCATTTTATCAATAAAGTGGAAACAAGGTTACATGTTTCCAGTACTCGGCTGGGGTAGTAGAACTATAGATTGCTAGCAATTTAGAGACTATTCTTTGCAGGCTCTACTCCTTTTGCCCACCCTGTAAATAGTATTGTTTAATTGCTGAGGATGGGGGGAGGCGGTCTGTCTTCGGCTGCCCTCTCTTCTTTACTCCTTTTCAGGGTAGTATCATCTACTCCTAAGTTTTAAGCAACCTCTAAAGGCTGATGGCTCCTGATGTCTATAGCTGAAATCTCTCTCTTGAGCTTCAGACCTATGTGTGCAGCCACGCTTGTGGCATATCCCCAGGATATTTCACAGGTTAAACCTAACAGGAACTCTGTATTTTCTGCACCGACACTGCTAATTTCTCCTAAATTCTTTGTCCTAGCTAATGGTCACACTACTTCCCTAGCTGCTCAAGCCAGATACCTCTCTCTCTCCTTCCCTCCCTCTCTCTAAATATGTGTATGCATGTATCTGTGTATGTAGACAGGTAGGTATTTAAAAGAATAGGAATATACTTATATTTTATGTATTATGTTTTCTTTTACACTTACTAATGTCATGATCATTTGATCATGCCAATAAATACTTTTCGACATTTTTAGTGCCTGATAAGTATTATCTTCTAACCATGTACTGTATTCTACTGCCTTGTTGAAAATTTGATTGTTTCCTCTTTTTTTTTTTTTTTTTTTTTTTTTTAGCTATCAGGAATAGTACCGAGTGAGTCCAGGTGTGGTGGCCTGTGCTTGTAATCCCAACACTTTGGGAGGCTGAGGTGGGAGGATTATATGATCCCAAGAGTAAGACCAGCCTGGGCAACATAAGGAGACCCTGTCTCTACAAAAAATAAAACAATTAGCCGAGAGTGGTAGAGAATGCCTGTGGTCCCACCTATTCAGGAGGCTGAGGTGGGAGGATCATATGAGCCTGGGAGGTCAAGGCTTCAGTGAACCATGATCGCACCACTGTTCTCCAGCCTGGGCAACAGAGTGAGACTCTGTTTCAAATAAATAAAGAGCACTGAACATATCTGTACATATCTTTTATTTCCTTAGATTGAATACTTAGAACTGCAAATAGAGGGCCACGAAGTATACGCATTTGAAAAGATTTTAATACATTTTGCCAAATTGGCCTTCCAGAAAAATTATACCTCAGTATATGATAACATCCTTGCCAATATTGGATATTATCATTTTAATTGTTGCCATTGTAATAGATTATATCTGACCCTCCAACTCTCAGCTCCACCTTTTCCCTAAATCCTTCATCATTCCCTTCCAAGTACCCTCACAACTCCCCTGGGGCACACAACTTAATTGAAAGGCAGAGAGGGACCAATTTCCCATAGGGATAATTCCCAATCTTCTCCACTTTCCTCTAACCCCACTGTTGCTGCTCTTGTTCATAGAGGTTTCTAGGCCAACCTGCGCAAGCTTCCAAAGTAATTTTTTTGTAACTCTTTAGTATCTTCCTCTATCTCCCTCTCTTCCTAAATTCCTGTCTCTGAGAGATTATTTTCCCCCTCCTTGTTGAGAATGACCTTTCAAAAGCACTTTGTCCTTCTTTCCTCCCCTAACCTTTGCATTATGCCATTGCTGCCTCCCATTAATAGAGTAGTAATTTCTTCCCTCTGCCAAAAACATACTTAAATCTCTTCTACACAAGAAAAAAGAAAAAGAATTCCATTATCCTCAAACTACCATATTCTTTTCTCCTTCCTTCACCATTATTTTTTTTTTTTTTTGAGACGAAGTCTTGCTCTGTTGCCCAGGTTGGGGCGCAGTGGCACAATCTTGGCTCACTGCAACCTCTACCTCCCAGGTTCAAGTGATTCTCCTGCCTCAGCCCCCAGAGTTGCTGGGATTACAGGCGCCCGCCACCACGCCCGGCTAATTTTTTTTGTATTTTTAGTAGAGATGGGGTTTCACCATGTTGGCCAGGCTGGTCTCGAACTCTGACCTCAGGTGATCTGCCCACCTCAGCCTCCCAAAGTGTTGAGATTACAGGCGTGAGCCACCACGCCCAGTCCCCATCAGACTTTAGAGTGCTGAGAAGTGTCTATTGACTCTCATGTACCTCTCAGCATCTTGAATTCTGGGGTCCAGCTCCTCACTCCTGAAATGGCAGTCTTCGGGGTCTTAGGCAACTTTAAAGCCCTATCAAAAGCCTTTTCTTCACCTCGTGGTAGCCTGGGGTGCAGGTCCCTGCCCTTCCGCCTGAGGCTGTCTTCTCCCGGCTGCATGGTTCGCCCTTTCCTGATTCTCCTCTCTCAGTGAGGGCTGGGATCCCGCAGGCCTGCAGGCCATGTTCATGTGTCTCAACCATCACTCTCCTAGCTCTTCCCTCCCTCTGGGTTTTCTCACCTGATCCTGTGGCTTCAGTTTTCTCCTTTATCTTGCTGATTCATAGCCCAAATGGAATTCCAGACCCAAATTATGTAGTTGCCTCCTAGACAGCTCTACCTGGATGCGATTCCTCAAATTCCACAGATCTCAAACTGAATTTGTTAGCCAGTTTCCCCCACCATCCCCACTGCCACACACAGACAAAGAGAAAAACCCGCTCCTCCCACTGTGTTTCCTACTTTGGTCAATGTCATCATCAAACTTTTAGTCATCATGCTCAAACCCATAAAAATAATAGCTGCCACATACTGAGTGCCTGCTTTATTTGCCAGGTACCTTACATGCAGAATCAAATCCAGTCTTTCCACAATAACCGTGTAAGGCTGATTTACTATGTCCATTTTTAGAGATAAGGAAACTACCAGAAAGTGGTGATATTCAATAAGTTTAGTTAGTGCCCACGCCTCTGTGTGGAGTTTCACCACATAATCTCTCCCTGCTCCTCAGTACCATATCCAGCCAGTTTCCAGGTCCCCCATGTTCACTGTATAGTACATCTGCCCTCTCTTTATCTGCCCACCACCAACTCCTTAGGCCAGCCTCACTGTTCCTTTCTCTCTCTCTCTCTCTCTTTTTTTTTTTTTTTTTTTTTTTTTTTTTTTTTTTTTTTTTTGGTAGAGACAGCATCTTGCTCTGTTGACCAGGCTGGTCTCAAACTCCTGGCCTTAAACCATTCTCCTGCTTGGCCTCCCAAAGTGTTAGGATTACAGGCATGAGACCACTGCACCTGGCCTCAGTGTTCTTTTGCCTGGAAATTAGCAAACCTTCTTCAACTATCACTGACAGATGTCATTATAAAGCATACTTTTAAACATTACTCCTTACAAGTGAAAATCCTAAATGATTCCTATTGCCGAGTGGGGTTCTAACCCTTTAGCCTGGTGTCCAAGGCTCTCTACCCTCTAATGCCAGCCTTATCTCCTGCCTATGCCCTTGGTGAACCTTATATTCCATCTAGCCAAGAACACAAGTTTTCAGCATGCCCTGCACTTCCCCCCATGACCCAAGTCTTTGTTCTTGCTATTGCTTCTCTCTGTAATTCCCTTTCTTCCCTATCTAACCCCCCTTCTCATATGTGTCTGTTGAAATCCTATCAATACTTAAAGTCCAGTTCAGCTGCCACCTCCACAGAAAACCCTTTCTTTTTAAAAATTAATTGCCGGGCGCGGTGGCTCACACCTGTAATCCCAGCACTTTGGGAAGCCAAGGTGGATGGATCACCTGAGGTTGGGAGTTCGAGACCAGCCTGACCAACATGGAGAAACTCCATCTCTACTAAAAATAGAAAATTAGCCATGTGTGGTGGCACATGCCTGTAATCCCAGCTACTCGGGAGGCTGAGGCAGGAGAATTGCTTGAACCCGGGAGGCAGAGGTTGCGGTGAGCCAAGATCGCACCACTGCACTCCGTCCTGGACAACAAGAGCGAAACTCCACCTCAAATAATAATAATAATAATTAATTAATTAAATTTTGAGACAGGGTCTCACTCGGTCACCAAGGCTGGAATGCACTGGCGCAATCATAGCTCATTGCAACCTCGAACTCCTGGGCCCAAGCGATCCTCCCTCCTCAGCCTTCAAAAGTACTGGGATTATAGGCTTGAACCACCACACCTGGCCAGAAAACCCTTTCAAATCTTCCAAGGAGTCATTTAGGTCTACCTCTTCCAACTCCCACTCTTAGTATTTTTGCCTTTTTTTAAACCATATTTTTCCTCATCTCAGAGATACTTTTGTAAATGTTTGTCTCCCCCTCTACTCTTTTATGTTCTCAGAGGATATGGACTATTTCTTAGCCATCTCTGTATCTCGAACATTATCTCCCCCACTAAGCAGTGTCCAGAGTAGGCATGTACAATGTACCAATTTTAGTTTGACTGATTCAAATTAATCAAACATTTGGTCCATTCTTGCTAATCCTTCCACTTCTGCATTCCAGGTTCTGTCAGGTGAGCTGTTGTGCTGTATGTCTGACCTGAATTGCCTTTTAGGAGGGAATCAGTACTTGGAAGCTGGAATACATCAGGGATACCCCTAAAACGAGAGACTATTTTTTTCCATTGGATTCTGACATAAATAAATTTTGCCTACTTTGACAGTCAGTTCTGTCCTGAATGTTGGGAAGAGGGAAGCCGTGTTCTGGGCTTTGAAGTCATGCAGATCTGGGTTCAAGTCCTGCCTCCACCACTTTCTGCTTGTGTGATTCAGTGCCCATTGCTTAACCTCTCATGGAGTTGTGAGGATTAAATAAGATGCAAGTAAAACACTTAGAAAGGTGCCTAGTAAAGATTAAGAGCTTAATAATAGGAATAGTAATCATGGGAATAAATAAAATACATTCAAACTGGATTTTATCTGTTTACATTTGAGTATGAATATGTCGGCCTTTCTGGAAATTCACATCAATGTCGATTAAATGATGCTACTTCCGGGACTTTCTTCCCAACCCAGCTCAGCCCCTCCAGCCCGCCTCCTTCGTTTCCTCTTCCCTGCCATAGCCTGGTGCGGCCACCAGGAGGAGCATTTGTGCCACAGAAGGAGTCTCACTCACCTCTCAGGCAGGAAAAAGCCCTCCTCGCTCTCCAGGCCATATCCACTCCCCTCTGGAGCACGGCTTGTTGTGACACCGCTGCCCTCTGCCTGTCTTCTCTTCCCGGCCTGGGAGGAGCTTTCTATTCTAGGTTTCCATTCTTATTTTGGACAGCCCGATGTAAAGACATACACCCTCGGCCGGGCGCGGTGGCTCACGCCTGTAATCCTAGCATTGTGGGAGGCCGAGGCCGGCAGATCACTTGAGGTCAGGAGTTCAAAACCAGCTTGGCCATCCATCGTGGTGAAACCCTGTCTCTACTAAAAATACAAAAAGTTAACTGGGCATGGTGGTGCGCGCCTGTAATCCCTGCTACTTGGGAGGCTGAGGCAGGAGAATCGCTCGAACCCGGGAGGCGGAGGTTGCAGTGAGCCGAGATCATGCCACCACACTCCAGCCTGGGTGACAGAGCGAGACTCCATCAAAAAAAAAAAAAAAAAAAAAAAAAAAAAAAAAAAAAGACGTATACCCTGAATGAGAGCCAGGAGACCTGTTACTTGCTCAGCTTTTCCATTACATCCCTGTCAATCAACTGCTTGACTTTCTTTTTGTTTCTTTTCTTTTCTTTTTCTTTTTTTCTTTTTTTTTTTTTTTTTGACACAGGGTCTCACTCTAGTTGTCCAGGCTGGAGTGCAGTGGCCCAAACTCAGCTCACCACAACCTCAACCTCCTGGGCTCAGGTGATCCTCCCACCGCAGTCTCCCAAGTAGCTGGGACCACAGGCACATGCCACCACGCCCAGCTATTGACTTTCTTTAGCCTGTTTCCTCACCTGTGAAATGGGAATGCTAATACATGCCCTGTGAACCTCAGTAGGGTGCTGTAAAAATGAAATATCCTGACATATACAGACCCTCTTTATAAAGTGTCAAATAGGTGACAGCATTGTCTAACCTCACACTGTGTCATTTCTCCCTCCTGCTGTCTTCAGTGGACACTCTCATCCACCCAGAGCCTTGACTGGAAATGGATTGTTAGGAAGGGATTACAGAGCACCTAGTCTCCACTTACACTAACAGAAGGGAATGAGTCTGAACCATAGCAAGAAGTACTAGAATTAAATTTACCTGGAATATTCAGAGAAAGGTTAAAGTCTCTTTTCACAAAAAGCAAAGGACAGCAAGGGAACTGTCTAGAACAGAATGACAACAGGAATTCCTAGAAACAACTGGAGGGGTAGGGCAACTTGCCTCCATAGTTGGCTAGAGGGAAGGTTTAATATATTTTGCTGAAAGATGGAAAGAATCAGTGAATAAATGAAACTGAATGAATGAAATATAGGTATGATATTTTAAGGTCTTGGGACACTAGGTGGCGGCACAAGGCAACAAACCAAGAGACCAGAACTTCTTCCAATCCAGGGGCTGCCCAGGAGGGGCACCTCCTCTGTATTCCCCAGACTTTAAGCACCCTTTCCCCTTCTATATCTGTCTTTTCAAATGATGCACTCTCTTCAGTGATAAAGACATTGAAGCAGGCAAGGAAGAGAAAACCTGGGGGAGCCAAATACATATTACCTAGGGTTTCTTCTTTTCAGATAGCCCGTGGAATTAGAGTTCTCTGGCTCCAAAAAGGGCATAAGAAAGGAAAAAAAATGGGAACATTGCATGAGAAATCTGGATTAGGGTGAGAAGGCATTTAGATAGGATTACCCAATCTACACTGATTGGGGAAAGATCTGATGACAGAATTTATTTTTTCTTTTTCTTTTTTTCTTTTTTTTTTGTTTTGTTTTTTTGTTTTTTGTTTTTGTTTTTTTTTTAGACGGAGTCTTGCTGTCGCCCAGGCTGGAGTGCAGTTGCGCGAACTCGGCTCACTGCAACCTCTGCCTCCTGGGTTCAAGCGATTCTCCTGCCTCGGCCTCCTGAGTAGCTGGGATTATAGGTGCACACCACCATGCCCCGCTAATTTTTGTATTTTTAGTAGAGACGGGGTTTCACCATGTTGGCAAGGCCAGTCTCAAACTCCTGACCTCAGGTGATTTTCCCCACCTCAGCCTCCCAAAGTGCCGAGATTACAGGAGCGAGCCACCACGCCTGGTCTAGATTTTTTTTTTTAATTGAGTAATAGTACCCTGGGGAAGTTACTGCCTCACCCATTTCTTCCTCAGGACACCACAGACCCCTCTCCTCCCATTTATTGAGAGAGAGAGAGAGAGACTGTGACTATAGCCCTTCTCAGCAAAGTAAAAGCAAAGCAGAAATCAGGCTGTTTAACTACTGGAAACTCTTCATTGTATTTTTTGACCAAGTATTGGTTCTTTGATACAGGAGAGAAAGCACTGCCAAAAGCCAAGGGCCTTTGAATAAATTCTGTCTCAGTCAGGAAACCCTAAAAATTTACTGAGGTAGTAGACGGCTACAGGGAGTTGATTATGCCTTCGCCACCATAATGCAAGACTTCTGAGTCATGAACATAGCGCCAGTGGAAAGATGCCACCTTCTTAGCTTCACTCTGCTTGGGTTTGTAACTCTAAGACAAAATCGCTTCTCTGTATCATCTCCATTCCTAAAGTTGTTCTGTTCAGCGTCCTATTTTAGCAGGCATCAGTGGATATGCAGCCCAGCCATGCCCCTCCCAGTTGCCTTTAGCACAATGGAACCAAGACCACCGTCTTACCCTCTGTCCTCTTTTCTGTGGATGGTAATTTCCTAGTCTTTCCTGTTTCCTCCAGATCTCCCTTCTTCCCGTGGTAGGGGAGGAGAAGTAGTGAGCATTGTGCTTTTTACACCGAGCTCCTGTAACACTGTCTTTATAATAATGCATATAAAGCACTTGTAACAGAACACTAAAAAAAGTCAGTGATTATCAGCCAGGCACAGTGGCTCACACCTGTAATCCCAGCACTTTGGGAGGCTGAGGCGGGCAGATCACCTGAGGTCAGGAGTTCGAGACCAGCCTGGCCAACCTGGTGAAACCCCATCTCTACTAAAAATACAAAAATTAGCCGGATGCGGTGGCACACGCCTGTAATCCCAGCTACTCGGGAGGCTGAGGCAGAAGAATCGGTTAAACCTGGGAGGCGGAAGTTGCAGGGAGCCGAGATCGCGCCACTGCACTCCAGCCTGGGTGACAGAGCAAGACTCTGTCTCAAAAAAAAAAAAAAGAAAAAGAAAAAAAAGCCAGTGATTATCATGGCTACTTATAACTATCTGCAGTATTTTCCAGTGTACAAGAACTTTGACATGCATTATTTATTCCATTCATTTATTCATTAAACAAATATTTATCAAATGCATGTTATATGCCCAGTACTCTTCTGGGCCATTGATGGAGAAATGGACCACATGGCCATGATCCCTGCCTTCGTGAAACTTTGAGGAAGCTTAAAATTTTTAATGTAAGTTGACATATTCACTGCTTTGTGTTAGAACTTTGACATTGGAAAGAATGTTAGAAATCAGCTAGTTCAAATTTTATTTTTTATTTTATTTACTTATTTATTTAGAGATAGGGTCTTGCTCTGTCATCCAGGCTAGAGTGCAGTGGTGTGATCTCAGCTCATTGAAGCCTTAACCACCCAAGCTCAAGCGACCCTCTCACCTCAGCCTCCAGCGTAGCTGGGACTACCGGCGCATACCGCTAAGAAATCAGGTAGTTCAATCACTTACTCAAAACAGAAATTCATTCTTCTATATCTTGGTCTAAAATCACCAAGAATTGGTGGCTGTTCTTGACTAAACATTCTCTGTATTTGGTCTTTTCTGACCATTTGTACATTCTTCTTTATGCCAAACCCTAATGCGGTTCCTTTTCATTTCCACTCACTGATTCTTTTCCTGTACGATTCAATAAGTCTGCCCCTCTTCTATGCGGATTGCCCATTAAATAGTTAAAGACAGGTACCACAGCTCCAAGATCAGTTTGTTCGTAATTCTTCACTTAATGAAGACTTCTTTTTCAAGAATCATTTGAAGTATTTCCCATGTGCCAGGCACTTTAGTAGGTATTCTCATACAATCTCATTTAACCCTCACTATGAACCCTGCGCAATAAACTTCATTCTGATTTTATTGATAAGGCAAATGAAGATGAGAGAGAAGAAGTAACCTGCCCACGGCCACATCCCTTATATATGGCAGAGCCCCTTGGACATTTGGTTAATCCTCTTCTCAGTGCTCTCTTACATGTCAGTATCTTGCTTCAGATGGAGTCAGTTACAAGTACAGTAACACTCTTCAGCTTTCTTGACTGGAATGTGATTCTTCTTCCCAGAGCCAAAGACCACATTAGCTCTTAGCAGTTCCATCACGTTACTGGCTCATACTGAGCTTATGGTTACCTAAATGTTCAGGTCTTTCCGATATGCATCATTGTCAAGCCTGGTCTCTCACATGCACTGCTTTGTCCTACTGTCTCAATGTTTGGGTCCTATCCTTCCTTCAAAGACCACCCAGCTCATGCCCAACTCTTTGGTGAAACCTTTCCCGATTCTACATTACCCCCATTGAACAGGATCTCTTTCTCTCTCCATAGAAT